>NC_000017.11:2612323-2763838 GCF_000001405.40 Homo sapiens
CTCCCAAGTAGCTAGGACTACAGGCGCGCACCACCACGCCTGGCTAATTTTTTGTATTTTTTTTAGTAGAGACGAGGTTTTGCCATGTTGGCCAGGCTGGTCTCAAACTACCGACCTCAGGTGATCTGCCCGCCTCAGCCTCCCAAAGTGCTGGGATTAAAGGTGTGAGCCACCATGCCCGGCCGTATCTTCCCGACAATCTTGTGAAATAGATACTACTATTAAAAGTAGCTGTATCAGATAATTTCTAGATGTAAGAGGGTTCGCCAACTATAGCTAGCAAGTCAAATCCTGCTGTTTTTATTTTGAGAAGGGGACTCTGTCCCCCAAGCTGGAGTCCAGTGGCCTGAACACGGCTTCTCTGTAGCCTTGACTTCCTAGGCTCAAGCAATCCTCCTGCCCCAGCCTCCTACGTAGCTGGGATCACAAGATGCGCACCACTACGCCTGGCTGTTTTTGATTTTTTGTAGAGGTGGGGATCTCACTTTTTTGCCCAGGCTGGTCTCAGACTCCTGGGCTCAAGTGATCCTCCTGCCTCGGCCTCCACAAGTGCTGAGATTACTGGT
Source organism: Homo sapiens (assembly GCF_000001405.40). Lineage (NCBI taxonomy): Eukaryota > Metazoa > Chordata > Mammalia > Primates > Hominidae > Homo > Homo sapiens. Next base: position 2,612,890 of record NC_000017.11, read on the forward strand.
GTGAGCCAGCATGCCCGGCCTGCCACCTGATTTTGTACCATAAGCCTAAAAATGTTTGTTGTTTGTTTTTTCAATTTTTAGTGGTCGAAAAATCAAAATAAAATGTTTTGTAAAATAATTTTATAAAATCCATTTGATAAATTAATAATTTGTAAAAAAAAAAAAAAAAAAGGTGAAATTCAAATTTTAGTGTCCATAAAGTTTTGTTGGAACAAAACCATATCTTTTTCTTTCTTTTTTTTTCACATTTTCCTTTAAAATTTTGTTTTTGTTTTTGTTTGCATCCAAAACTGAAAGAAAGAATGCAAGCTGTGGGAGGCAGGCCATTGCATCAAGTGGTGGCTCCTGGGAGTTTGTGTGGCCCCACCCCCCACCCACCCCTGGCCACTTCAGCACAGAGGCTGGGAAGGGTCTGGGGGCCCTGGAAGCAGAGCCAAGGTCCCATTTTCTTGCTTGGGCGAAGCTCAGCCGGCAGGGCCGTGGCCCCCTTCATAGGGGGAGGTGGCTGTCATGGGGGACAAGGGCTGCTGCTCTCCTGTGCTGAGTTCCCTCTCTGGGGCCCGCAGTGTTGGTGGCTGCAGCGGCAGAGCCATGGGGAAGCTGGCCATGTAGAAGATGTGGCCCAGGCGCCTGGCCACCTGGGCCTGGGTCTTGAGGGCAGGCCCCAGCTTCAACCCCGTGGTGGTCAGCGGGTGCTCCCCCGTCAGCAGTGGCAGGGTCTCCCCTTCGATCCCCTGCTCCCTGAAGACCTGAGTATACTCTCCACAGCCAGACAGCCGCCCCTCCGCGAAGCTGCAGACATCATCCATGGTCCACTTGCTGACGTCCTCAAGGGCTGGGGCCTCCTCCCCATCCACAGAGAGTCCCCCTGTGGCGCTGGGCCAGGTTCTGCTTCTGCAGGAGCTCCTGATGCCGGGCGAGCATCTCCACTCGGGCAGGGGCAGGAATCCGTAGCCTGGGATCTGGCACAGAGGTGAGGGCACTCCCAGAAAGGGGGGCCTGAAATGGGGGCCCAGGGTGATGTGAGGGGCATTCTGGGGCGACAGCAAGAGGGGGCGGCTGTGGCAGCTCCTTGTCAACAGTAGCGCAATGAGCGGCCTCTTTATATATTATATATTGTTTATATATTGGGTTTTTTTTTTTTTTTTTTTTTGAGACGTGGGTCTGGCTCTGTCGCCCAGGGTGGAGTGCAGTGATGTGATCACAGTTCACTGCTGCAGCCTCAACCTCCCAGGCTCAAGCTATCCTCCCACCTTAGCCTCCTGAGTAGCTGGGACCGCAGGTGTGTGCCACCATTCCTGGCTAATTTTTAAATTTGTGGTAGAATGAGGTCTTGCTGTTTTGCCCAGGCTGATCTCAAACTCCTGAGCTCAAGGGATCCTCATGCCTCAGCCTCCCAAAGTGCTGGATTAGTGAGCCGTGGCACTTACCTAGCCAGTATATTGTTTATTGTTGCTTTCTTACTGCAGTGGCAGAAGAGTTGCTACAGAATCTGAATGGCCCACAAAACCTAAAATACTTACTATCTTTGCAGAGTTTGCTGACCCCTGGTCTAGATACAAAGGGGAGAGAACATAAGATAGAAAGCAGCAAACTTAATATAGATGCAAAGAATGTGTCTGTATTACAACATCCCAGGAAGACTAGATAGTTATATAATGAACAAGGCAACTGTGTTTTCTTCTTGAAGGATTTTTAAAGACGACTTTTATAAAAGCTCTGTTGCCTAGGCGGGAGTGCAGTGGTGTCATCATGGCTCACCAAAGCCTTGAACTCCTGGGCTCAAGTGATCCTCCCACCTTAGCCTCCTGAGTAGCTAGGACTACAGGCACATGCCACCATGCATGGCTAGATTTTATAATTTTTTCTTTTCTTTTTTTTTAGAGATGAGTCTTGCTGCGTTGCCCAGGCCGGTGTTAAACTTCTGGCCTCAAGCAATCCTCCCACCTCAGCCTCCAAAGGGGCAAAGATTATAGTGCACCACCATTGCAGGCCAACATTAAAGTAAATTTAAAGGAAAAAAGTGACCCACAATCTTGAAAATCATACGAAAACAGTCAATGTTTGTCCTCACATTCCTTCCCACTATTTGTGGCATATGCAGTTGGCCGTCCATATCCATGGGTTTTGTACTGTGGATTCAACCAACTCCAGATTGAAACTATTCAGACAAAATGATAGTTGTGTCAGTACTGAACATGCAGTTTTCCTGTCATTATTCCCTGAACAATACAATATAACAACTATTTACATAGCTTTTATTTTTTTAGGTATTCTAAGTAATCTAGAGATGATTTAAAGTATATGAGAGTATATGTGTAGGTTATATGCAAATACTAAGCCATTTTATATAAGGGATTCGAGCATTGTTTTATTGGTATCCGGGGGGTCCTGGAATGACTGTACATGTGTATAATATACAACAACTGATATCAGATAGAAAGTACAAGGAAAAAGCGATTTATGACAAAATCTAAAGTCATAATTCAGTTTCTTTAGAACCTTTAGGTGTTCAAAATGGCTTCATTTCGAAGACAAAAGTAGGAAACTTTCTTTCTTTCTTTTTTTTGAGATGGAGTCTCACTGTGTCGCCCAGCCTGGAGTGCAGTGGCACAATCTTGGCTCACTGCAACCTCTGCCGCCCGGGTTCAAGCGATTCTCCTGCCTTAGCCTCCCGAGTAGCTGAGACTGCAGGGGCCTGCCACCGCGCCTGGCTAATTTTTCTATTTTTAGTAGAGACAGGGTTTCACCATCTTGGCCAGGCTGGTCTTGAACTCCTGACCTCATGATCCCCCTGCCTTGGCCTCCCAAAATGCTGGGATTACAGGCGTGAGCCACCGCGCCCAGCCTGAAACTTTCTCTTTTTAGAGGGGCAGTGAAGAAGTAGTCTTTGAGCACCCATCAACAAATGAACACATCTGGGATGAAGATTGTACCTAACATGTTTGATCAGTCTGGTGTGGCAATAAGGATGCACCCAGGAGGTGATAAGGAAATCCAGGAGGTGATAAGGTAGACAGACTGAGAAAGAAGACACAAGGAGAGAAAAGTAAAGAGAGGAAAGATGAGCATTAATGAGGGTGCTTACAAGCGGCAGAGGCAGTGAATACAAAAACTTAGTGGAAAGAAAGCAACGACGAAACAAGAATAGGATGAGTTCTCAGTTACCTACTTTATTCTTCAAATAGCCCTTATTCAGCACATCTTTCTTGTTTGTTGTAGAATGGAGAGCAGTTTATTACATTTGATAATCCTTGAAAGCATTAATTTGCTTGGAGGGTACCCAGGGAGTAGAGTTCAAGCAGTATGAAGAGTGAAGAATATTCATTCTGGTAGAGTTTAGTGACAGACTAAGCTTATATTAATAACGGTTCTATATTATAGAAGAATACTACTGCTGGAGTATGGCAGTATATTAGGTTTCTCCAGAGAAGCAAGGCCAATAGGGTGTGTGTGTGTAGAGATTGACTGGTTGATTGATGTTTGAGGAATTGGCTCATGCTATTGTGAAGGCTTGCAAGTTCAAAATCTGTAGGGTAGGCTGACAGGCCGGGGACCTGGGGAAGAGGTGATGTTGCATCTCAAGTCCAAACGCAGTCTTTTGGCAGAATTCTATCTTACTTGGGAAATCAGTCTTTTCTTTTTCTCTTAAGGTCTTCAACTGATAGAATAAGGCCCGCCCACATTATAAAGATAATTGACTTTACTCTGAGTCTGCTGACTTAAATGTTAATTGTATCTGAAGAAATATCTTCACAGCAACATCTAAACTATTGTTTGATCAAATATACTGGGCCTAGCCAAGTTGGAATGTAAAATTAACCATCACAAGACTGTAATAGAAACCATCTCATAATGTACATTTGGGACTTATGGTGAAAGGCAAAGGGCAGACCGGGTGCAGTGGCTCACGCCTGTAATCCCAGCACTTTGGGAGGCCGAGGCGAACAGATCACGAGGTCAAGAGATCGAGACCATCCTGGCTAACACGGTGAAACCCCGTCTCTACTAAAAATACCAAAAAAAAAAAAAAATTAGCCGGACCTGGTGGCGAGCGTCTGTAGTCCCAGCTACTCGGGAGGCTGAGGCAGGAGAATGGTGTGAACCCGGGAGGCAGAGGTTGCAGTGAGCCGAGATCGCACCACTGCACTCCAGCCTGGGCGACAGAACGAGACTCCGTCTCAAAAAAAAATGATTGCTCTTAATAAGAAAAAAACAGACATCCAGATATGACTTATATTGTGTTACTTAAATCTAAGTCTGATTGATTTCAAAGCCCCAAAACTATTTCTACTTTATTTCTTCAGATTTAAAGCTGTGGACCAACTATTTGCAGCACTTGCCTTTAATACTGGAGTTAGTAGATTTGAGGTCAGTAGGAATGCTTCTCAGTGAAAAAAGTGGTAGCTTAATCTTTGGCTCAAGGCTAATCGTAAAATAGGAAACATTTTCCTATGTAAATTTTGGATGGGTAACTTAAATCTTGCAAAATGAATGAAGTATAGTGGTTAGCTGTAACTAATAGAAAAGCGAGGAGATGGTGAAGCTGTAAAAGAATTTTACAACTTTTTCAGTGAACCATACCTGAGCACAGTCCATCCCTCAGTGATTTTACCATACTGATAAACCAACCTGATCTCTTTTTTTGTTTTTATTACCTGCTGACAGCAGATGCTAGTGAATCATAGATGGGCCTCCAAGCTGAAGCAGAATAAGAAGTAGACGTGTTAAAGTCTCAGTGTTTGAGGCCAGGCATGGTGGCTCACGCCTGTAATCCCAGCACTTTGGGAGGCTGAGGCAGGCAGATCACTTGAGGTGAGGAGTTTGAGACCAGCACAGACAACATGGTGAAACCCCCTGTCTCTACTAAAAATGCAGCATTTAGCCAGGTGTGGCGGTGGGTGTCTGTAATCCCAGCTACTCGGGAGGCTGAGGCAGGAGAATTGCTTGAACCTGGGAGGTGAAGGTTGTAGGGAGGGAGTGGAGATTGCGCCATTGCACTCCAGCCTGGGCAACAGAGCGAGACTCAGTCCCGCATCAAAAAACGTCTCGGTATTGGATTAAAAACTTGCATTTAGGCCGGGTGCGGTGGCTCACGCCTGTAATCCCAGCACTTTGGGAGGCCGAGGTGGGTGGATCACGAGGTCATGAGCTCGAGAGCAGCCTGCCCAACATGGTGAAATCTTGCCTCCACTAAAAATACAAAAAATTAGCTGGGCGTGGTGGTGGGCACCTGTAATCCCAGCTATTCGGGAAGCTGAGTCAGGAGAATCGCTTGAACCTGGGAGATGCGAGGTTGCAGTGAGCCGAGATTGCGCCACTACACTCCAGCCTGAGCGACAGAGCAAGACTCTGTCTCAAACAAACCAAACTTTCATTTATCATTTGTAATAGTGTGAATGGGAAAAGTCTAAATTCTCTCATATCTTCAGTTATTCATACAGAGCACACGATACTTCAAGAACATGAAGTTAATCTTTTGATAAATTTTGCCACCTTTTAATCAGAAAACAATTTTAAAACTCTAGAAATTTACCTCTCTGGGTAAGAAAGGAAATAAAAAGATTGATCTAAGGAAATGAAGTTACTCTTACGGAGTATTTTGTCCTTCTATGTAATCTCATGGATTTAGCTAAAGACTGGAGTCTTTTTCAGATACGTGATGCAATGATTTTATAGGAAAATTTACTTTTTTAAAAGAAATTATTTGACTGCATTATAGTATAGTGTTAATGATGGAGTTTTATTTATTTATGTTATTTTTTTATTTATTTTGAGACAGAGTTTCGCTCTTGTTGCCCAGGCTGGAGTGCAGTGGCGTGATCTCGGCTCACTGCATCCTCCACCTCCTGGGTTCAAGTGATTCTCCTGCTTGGGCCTCACGAGTAGCTGGGATTACAGGTACTCGCTCACTTGGGAGGCCGAGGTAGGAGAATCACTTGAACCCGGGAGGTGGAGGTTGCAGTGAGGCAGGAGAATCACTTGAACCCAGGAGGTGGAGACTGCAGTGAGCCGAGATTGTACCATTGCACTCTAGGCTGGGCAATGGAGTGAGACTCCGTCTCAAAAAAAAAAAAAAAAAAAAAAATTCAGAGCAACAGTCATATAACACTCCCACAAGAGATAATTCTTCACGATGTTAAACGAGAACTGTCAAAAGTAAGCCAATTTCAGGGACTTTTATAAGAAAGCATGTCTCAAGTTCATTGTTTTAGCTGGGGTTTTTTGTTTGCTTGTTTTGTTTTTTGTTATTTTGTTATTTTTCTTTATTTATTTTTGAGACAGGGTCTCACTGTGTCTCCTAGGCTTTCGTGTAGCGGCGTAATCACCGCAGCTCACTGTAGACTCCAACTCCTGGGCTTAGGTGATCCTCCCACTTCAGCCTCTGGGTAGCTGGGACCTAAGTATGTACCAACCACCACACCCGGCTAATTAAAAAAAATTATTTTGTAGAGATGGGGTTTCACTAGCTGGGACTACAAGCATGTGCCACCATGCCTGGCTAATTAAAAAAAATTTTTTTGGTAGAGACTGGGTTTCACTGTGTTGCCCAGGCTGGTCTTGAACTCTTTAGCTCAGTCTGCCCACCTCACCCTCCCAAAGTGCTGGGTTTACAGGTGTGAGCCACTGTGCCTGGCCCTTACCTGTTTTTTTTTTGTTTTTTTTCCTCTCAGGAGATGTTCCTGAATTACCTGGGGTCTTGACTTAAAGTTCAGAACTAATTGTAATAGGTAACATATGGTACTTCTTAGTTTATAAAATTTGTTTACATTAATATCCTGCCTATTCCTCACTGAATCTTTTAAGGTGAATTTCACATTTAAGTCTATTATACAATTGAGGAAACTCAGGCTTAATGAGGAAACTGGGGTTTAGGGAGACTTTGTGAACATCAAACTTTTCTTTTAATGGCAGAGTCTCCCTCTTTCACCCATGCTGGAGTACCGTGGTTTGATCGTAGCTCACTGTAACCTCAAATTCCTGGGCCCAGATATTCTCCTGCTTCAGTCTCCTATGTAGCTAGGACCACAGGCATGCACCACTATGCTTGGCTAATTATTATTTTTTTATTATTATTCTTTGTGGAGATGTGGTCTTGCTGTGTTGCCCAGCCTGGTTTTGAACTCCTGGATTGAAGCAATCCTCTGGCCCTGGCCTCTTTGTAATATGCCCCCACAAATATGCCCCAGCCCCATATTTTCATAAATGCTACTTGATAAATTCTACCTGATTTTTAGTATATTCAGAAGAAAGTGCGTAATCTCTTATTTTGATTAAATTTTGTTCCTTGTAGCTTAGAACTTTAGGTGAGATTCCCCAAGCATTTGGTGAGTTGATTGTCTAAGCCTAAAGTAAGGTAATGTTGCTTTATGCTGCATTCAGAACATTCTTGTAACTGTAACATTCACCTTAGAATGGAAATGTACAGATTGTTTATAAACATCAGATTCCTATCTAATTCTCTTTACTTTTTGTGACTTTGTTGTAACTTAACTCAGTATCTTATAATATTTTGGTTTGATTCTTTTTTGATTATCTAAAAAATAGATTATTAGGTAGGAACATTAAGACTTAAAAGTGAATAAACAAGTTTTATGTCTCTTTTCTGTTGGATGCTGGTTGTCTGTGCTGTTTAAGTTTTTGTCTGGTTTTAAAAAGCTTGTAGAACCAGCATAACTAAGAAAGTAGCGTGGCCGGGCGCCGTTGCTCATGCCTGTAATCCCAGCACTTTGGGAGGCCGAGGTCGGTAGATCACAAGGTCAAGAGATTGATACCATCCTGGCCAACATGGTAAAACCCCGTCTCTACTAAAAATACAAAAATTAGCTGGGTATGGTGGCGCGTACCTGTAATCCTAGCTACTCGGGAGGCTGAGGTAGGAGAATCACTTGAACCTGGGAGGCAGAGGTTGCGGTGAGCCGAGATCACACCATTGCACTCCAGCCTGGGTGACAAGAGCAAAACTCTGTCTCAAAAAAAAAGTTGCTTTTACTTTTCTAACTGAAATTCAGATTTTAATTCACTAAATTGTAGGCAAAACATCTTTAATTCTTTACCAGCTTTTTTAAAAAATAGATTTTTTCCTTTAATAGATTGTGTACAAAACTAAAGATAATTGAATAAAATGGCAAAAATTGTTGAAAACAAGAGTATATCTGTGATATGAATAGTCATACATATTAATAAAAATCTTCTGTCTCATAAATGAATTTGAAAAAATGCTGTTATTTTGAAACTACCTTTTTTTTTTAAGTTGAGGTGTATATGTGCAGGTTTGTTACATAGGTTAAGCCTAGTACCCATTCGTTATTTTTGCTGATTCTCTCCCTCCTACCATCCTTCACCCTCCGAAAGGCCCCAGTGTGTGTGGTTTCCCTCTATGTGTCCACATGTTCTCATCATTTAGCTCCCGCTTGTAAGTGAGAACATGCGCTATTTGGCTTTGCAATCCTGTGTTAGTTTGTTAAGGATAATGGCCTCCAGTTCCATCCATGTGGAATTACTATTCTAAACATCTGGTAACTTGCAAGGTGTCATGGAACCCAGCTTATCAGGAAACATTGCTTAACAGATTCTTGAAAGCAACTGGCCTGAAAAGATACTTAGTTCTTGACTGAGAATAACTTCTGCCTTGCTTCATTGCTGCATCTGGAAAATATTTGGATTAAGAGCCATAATATATAATACGTGCTATTCAAGCATGGTAGATAATCTGTCTTTTTTTTTTTTTTTTTTTTTTTTTTTTTTTTTTTTGAGACAGGGTCACCCTCTGTTGCCCAGGCTGGAGTGCAGTGGCGTCATCTCAGCTCACTGCAACCTCTGCATCCCAGGTGTTGCCCTCCCACCTCAGCCTTCTGAGTAGCTGAGACTACAGGCGTGCGCCACTATGTCCAGCTGATTTTTGTATTTTTTAGTAGAGATGGGGTGTATGTATTCGTTCGTTTTCACGTTGCTGATAAAGGCATAACCGAAACTGGGAACAAAAAGAGGTTTAATTGGACTTACAGTTCCACATGGCTGGGGAGGCTTCAGAATCATGGCAGGAGGCGAAAGGCACCTATTACATTGTGGTGGCAAGAGAAAAATGAGGAAGAAGCAAAACCAGAAACAAGATAATCCCATCCGATCTCGTGAGACTTATTCACTATCACGAGAATAGCATGGGAAAGACCAGCCTCCATGATTCAGTTACCTCCCCCTGGGTCTCTCCTGCAACACGTGGGAATTCTGAGAGCTACAGTGCAAGTTGAGATTTGGGTGAGGACACAGCCAAACCATATCATTCCACCCCTGGTCCCTCCATATCTCATGTCCTCCCTTTCAAAACCAATCTTGCCTTCCCAGCAGTCCTGCAAAGTCTTAACTCATTTCAGCATTAACCCAAAAGTCCACAGTCCAAAGTCTTATTTGAGACAAGGCAAGTCCCTTCTGCCTATGAGCCTGTAAAATGAAAAGCAAACTAGTTACTTCCTAGATACAATGGGGGTATAGGTATTGGGTAAATGCAGCCATTCCAAATGGGAGAAATTGGCTAAAACAAAGGGGTTACAGGGCCCATGCAAGTCCAGAATCCAGCGGGACAGTCAAATTTTAAAGCTCCAAAATAATCTCCTTTGACTCCAGGTCTCAGATCCAGGTCACGCTGATGCAAGAGGTGGGTTCCCATGGTCTTGGGCAGCTCTGCTCCTGCGGCTTTGCAGGGTACGGCCTCCCTCCTGTCTGCTTTCACCGGCTGGCCTTGAGTGTCTGCAGCTTTTCCAGGCGACAGTGCAAGCTGTCGGTGGATCTACCATTCTGGGGTCTGGAAGACAGTGGCCCTCTTCTCACAGCTGGGACTCACAGTAGGGACTCGTATGGGGGGCTCTGACCCCACATTTCCCTTCAGCACTGCCTTAGCAGAGGTTCTCCATGAGGGCCCTGTCCCTGCAGCAAACTTTTGCCTGGGCATCTGGACGTTTCCATACATCTTCTGAAATCAAGTTGGAGGTTCCCAAACCTCAATTCTTGACTTCTGTGAACCCACTTGCTCAACACCACGTGGAAGCTGCCAAGGCTTGGGGCTTCCACCCTCTGAAGCCACAGCCTGAGCTGTACGTCAGCCCCTTTCAGCCACAGCTGGAGTGGCTGGGACACAGGGTACCAAGTCCCTAGGCTGCACACAGCATGGGGACCCTGGGCCCAGCTCATGAAACCACTTTTTTCTCCTGGGCCTCCAGGCCTGTGATGGGAGGGGCTGCTGCCAGGAAGTTCTCTGACATGGACTGGAGACATTTTCTCCATAGTCTTGGGGATTAACATTAGGCTCCTTGCTTCTTATGCAGATTTCTGCAGCCAGCTTGAATTTCTCCCCAGAAAATGGGTTTTTCCTTTCTTTTTTTTTTTTTTTTTTTTTTCCCTGAGAGGGAGTCTCACTCTGTCGCCCGGGCTGGAGTGCAGTGGCATGATCTTGGCTCCGCCTCCTGGATTCATGCCATTCTCTTGACTCAGCCTCCCGAGTAGCTGGGACTACAGGTGACCACCACCACACCCGGCTAATTTTTTGTATTTTTAGTAGAGACAGGGTTTCAGCATGTTAGCCAGGATGGTCTCAATCTCCTGACCTTGTGATCTACCCGCCTTGGCCTCCCAAAGTCCTGGGATTACAGGCGTGAGCCACTGCGTCTGGCCAAAAAATGTTGTTTTTTTTTCTATCATATAGTCAGGCTGCAAATTTTCTAAACTTTCATGCTCTACTTCCCCGTTTTTTTTTTTTTTAAAGATGGAGTCTTGCTCTGTCGCCCAGGCTGGACTGCAGTGGTGCGATCTCTGCTCACTGAAACCTCCACCTCCTGGGTTGAAGTGATTCTCCTGCCTCAGCCTCCAGGTAGCTGGGATCCCAGCCACAGTAGCTGGGATTAGCCACCACTCCTGGCTAATTTTTGTGTTTTTAGTAGAGATGGGGTTTCACCATGTTGGCCAGGCTGGTCTCGAAACTGCTGACTTCAGAGGATCCGCCCACCTTGGCGTCCCAAAATGCTAGGATTACAGGCGTGAGCCACTGCCCCTGGTTGCTCTGCTTCCCTTTGAAAACGAAATACTTTTCAAACACCCAGGTCACCTTTTGGATGCTTTACTGCTTAGAAATTTCTTTTGCCAGATACCCTAAATCATCTTTCTCAAGTTCAAAGTTCCACAAATCTCTAGGGCAGGGGCAAAATGCTGCCAGTCTCTTTGCTAAAACATAATAAGAGTCACCTTTGCTCCAGTTCCCAACGAACTCCTCATTTCCATCTGAGACCACCTCAGCCTGGACCTTATTGTTCATATCACCATCAGCATTTTTGTAAAAGTCATTCAACAAGTCTCTAGGAGATTCTAAACTTTCCCAGGTTTTCCTGTCTTCTGAGCCCTCCAAACTGTTCCAAACTCTGCCTGTTACCCACTTCCAAAGTCACTTCCTCATTTCCGGGTATCTTTTCAGCAATTCCGCGTTCTACTGTTACCAGTTTACTGTATTAGTTCGTTTTCTTGCTGCTGATACAGACATACCCGAAACTGGGAACAAGAAAAGGTTTAATTGGACTTGTAGTTCCACATGGCTGGGGAGGCCTCAGAATCATGATAGGAAGTGAAAGGCACTTCTTACATGTCAGGGGCAAGAGAAAAATGAGGAAGAAGCAAAAATGGAAACCCCTGATAAACCTGTCAGATCTTGTGAGACTTACTATCGCAACAATAGCACAGGAAAGACTGGCCCCGTGATTCAGTTACCTCCCGCTGGGTCCCTTCCGTAACACATGGGAATTCTGGGAGATACAAGTCAAGTTGAGATTTCTGTGGGGACGCAGCCAAACCATATCACCTGGTTTCTCTGTGTTGCCCAGGCTAGTCTTGAACTCCTGGGCTCAAGCGATCTGCATGCCTCGGTCCATCAAAATATTGGAATTACAGGCTTGAGCCACTGTGCCCGGCCTCTGCTGACCTTTTAAATAAAGCTTTGGCAAGTGACAGTTTGAGGTTAGGAACCATTGATAATTGATGAATTACCGGATAAGTCTTTATTTCTTCCTTCTACATCTGATAATAAATCCGATGATTTCCATTTTCATGTCATTGCGCCTCTACTGTTAACATATAATTATTTATACTTTCTATTTTTTTTTTTTTAACTCTTCCACTTTCTCTTTTTGTGGTGGGGTACTTACCCTAGCAATAAACACATTGTTGTCTTAGATGCTGCATTGGATAGCAGATACGTGGATATAGTATTAGACTAGAGAATGCTTAAGAATTCTGCATTCCAAAAGCATACTAAAGCCTCTGTTTCTAGTGCTTAAGCAACAGTGTCCTTGATATCAGTCTAAGAAAGTCTGGATATTGACATGCAAATGAAAAAATCAGACTCTTTGAATTTTGTTTGTCATATATGCAAGTAGCTTAAAAGAATATTGGAATACTGCCAAAATACATTTCAAAAATATTAAATCTTCTTATTCGTTATTTTGACTTTGGAAAGATTTGTGAACCCCCTTAAAATACATGCAATATTTTGTTTATTTTCATATGTGCTTCTTTGAGAGGAAAGATCTTAGCTTTCATTATATTCTCAAAGGAGTCCAGTAACCTCAAAAAAGGTTAAGAACTTCTATACCAGGTAGTATGAAAATATTGCCTGATTTATTTGTACTGTTGGTTAATGTAGATTGTTCGTTGCAAAATATTCTAAACTCTTTCTTTAAAAAATGTTTACTCCATTTAAGAACCATTTATTAGAGGCTGGGCATGGAGGCTCTTTCCTGTAATCTCAGCACTTTGGGTGGCCGAGGTGACAGAATCGCTTGAGCCCAGGAATTAAAGACCAGCCTAGGCAACATAGCGGGACCCCGTCTCTAGCGGAGGTTGGGGGTAAAAAGAAAAAATTAGCTAGGCATGGTGGCATGCATCTGTTGTCCCAGCTACTCAGGAGGCTAAGGTAGGAGGATCTCTTGAGCCTAGGAGTTAGAGGCTGCAGTGAGCTATGATCGATCATGCCATTGCTCTCTAGCCTGAGTGACAGAGTGAGGACCCTGTCTCAAGAAAAACAGAAAAACGTTAATAAAAGCCAGGCGTGGTGGCTCATGCCTGTAATTCCAGCACTTTGGGAGGCCAAGGCAGGTGGATCACTTGAGGTCAGGAGTTGGGAACCAGCCTGACCAACATGGTGAAACCCTGTCTCTACTAAAAATACAAAAAAATTTAGCTAGGCATAGTGGTATGCACCTGTAATACCAGCTACTCGGGAGGCTGAGGCAAAACAATCGCTTGAACCCAGGAGGCAGAGGTTGCAGTAAGCCGAGATCACGCCACTGCACTCCAGCCTGGGCGACAGTGAGACTCCGTCTCAAAAAAAAAAAAAATTATTTCTGTTTTCATGTGGTATTTTGCGATTATGTGTTAACCATTAAAAGGCAACTGGAAAGGTAAAATTGTATTCTTAAAATAAGTATGATAACTCAATCATATACTTGTGCTTTCTGATAGCAAAAATACATGTTAAAGGTTGGAAAGGTTAAAGTTAGAAAATTCACAGGCTGAAATAATCTGAGTTAAAGGGTGCCTTAGATGTTAGCTACTATGTAGAAAATTTAGATTAATTACTCAGGTTATAGAGTTGATGACAAACTTGAACCGGCATCACCTTTCTTCCCCCCCCCCCCCCCCCCGAGGCGGAGTCTTGTTCTGTCGCCCAGAGCTGGAGTGCAGTGGCGCGATCTTGGCTCACTGCAACCTCTGACTCCCTGGTTCAAGCAATTCAACTGCCTCAGCCTCCCAAGTAGCTGGGATTACATGCGCGTGCCACCAAGCCCGGCTAATTTTTGTATTTTTAGTAGAGATAGGGTTTCACCATATTGGCCAGGCTGGTCTTGAAGTCCAGATCTTGTGATCTGCCCGCATCGACCTCCCAGAGTGCTGGGATTACAGTCGTGAGCCACCCCGCCTGGGTGCAATTTTTTATATGTTTGTTGGCCATTTGTATATCTTCTTTTGAGAATTGTCTCTTCATGTCCTTAGCCAACTTTTTGATGGGATTGTTTGTTTTTTCTTACTGACTTGTTTGAGTTCATTGTAGATTCTGGATATCAGTCCTTTGTCAGATGTATAGATTGTGAAGATTTTCTCCCACCCTGTGGGTTGTCTGTTTACTCTGCTGATTGTTCCTTTTGCCATCCAAAAGCTCTTCAGTTTAATTAGGTCCCAGCTATTTATCTTTGTTTTTATTGCATTTGCTTTTGGGTTCTTGGTCATGAGATCCTTGCCTAAGCCAATGTCTAGAAGGGTTTTTCCAGTGTTACCTTCTAGAATTTTTAGTTTCAGGTCTTAGGTTTAAGTCCTTAATTCATCCTGAGTTGATTTTTGTATAAGGTGAGAGATGAGGATCCAGTTTCATTTTCCTGTATGTGGCTAGCCAGTTATCTCAGCACTATTTATTGAAAAGGGTGTCCTTTCCCTACTTTATGTGTTTGTTTGCTTTGTTGAAGATCAGTTGGCTGTAAGTATTTGGGTTTATTTCTGGGTTCTCCATTCTGTTCCATTGGTCTATGTGCCTATTTTTTACCAGTGCCACGCTGTTTTGGTGACTATGGCCTTATAGTATAGTTTGAAAGCAGATAGTGTGATGCCTCCAGATTTGTTCTTTTTGCTTAGTCTTACTTTGGCTATGCAGTCTCTTTTTTGGTTCCACATAAATTTTAGAATCATTTTTTGTAATTCTATGAAGAATGATGGTATTTTGATGGGGATTGTGTTGAATTTGTAGATTGCTTTTGGCAGTATGGTCATTTTCACAATATTCTACCCATCCATGAGCATGGGATGTGTTTCCATTTGTTTGTGTCATCTCTGATTTCTTTTGGCAACATTTTATAGTTTTCCTTGTAGATGTCTTTCAACTCCTTGGTTAGGTATATTCCTAAGTATTTTATTTGTGGCTATTGTAAAAGGGGTTGAGTTCTTGATTTGATCCTCTGCTTAGTTGCTCTTGGTGTATAGAAGAGCTACTGATTTGTGTACATTAATCTTGAATCCAGAAACTTTGCCGAATTCTTTTATCAGTTCTAGGAGCTATCTGAGGAGTCTTTAGGGTTTTCAAGGTAAACGATCATATCGTCAGCAAACAGTGACAGTTTGACTTCCTCTTTACTGACTTGGATGCCCTTTATTTCTTTCTCTTGTCTGATTGCTCTGGCTAGGACTTCCAGTACTATGTTGAAGAGGAGCGGTGAGAGTGGGCATCCTTGTCTTGTTCGAGTTCTCAGAGGGAATGCTTTCAACTTTTCCCCTTTCATTATTATGTTGGCTGTGGGTTTGTCATAGTTGGCTTTTATTATGTTATTTCCCTTGTATGCTGATTTTGCAGAGAGTTTTAATTATAAAGGGATTCTGGATTTTGTTGAACGCTTTTTCTACATCTATTGAGATGATCATGTGGTTTTTGTTTTTAATTCTGTATGTATTGTATCACATTTATTGACCTGCATATATTAAACCATCCCTGCATCCCTAATATGAAACCTACTTGATCATGGTGGATCAACACATCTTTTTGATATGTTGTTGGATTTGGTTAGCTAGTATTTTTTTAAGGATTTTAGCATCTATGTTCATTAAGGATATTGGTCTGTAGTTTTCTTTTTTTGGTTGTTTGGTTGTAGTTTCCTTTCCTGGTTTTGGTATTAGGGTGATGCTGGCTTCATAAAATGAATTAGGGAGGGCTCCTTCTTTCTCTGTCTTGTGGAATATTATCAAAAGAATTGGTACCAACTCTTCTTTGAATGTCTGATAGAATTCTGCTGTGAATCCGTCTGGTCCTGGACCTTTTTTTGTTGGTAATTTCTTAATTACCGTTTCAGTGTCACTGCTTGTTATTGGTCTGTTCAGCGTATCTAATTCTTCCTGATTTATGTGAGGAGGGTTGTGTTTTTCCAAGAATTTATCCATCTCTTTTAGGTTTTCTCATTTATGTGTGTAAAGGTGCTCACAGTAGCCTTGAATGATCTTTTGTATTTCTGTGGTGTCAGTTGTAATATCTCCTGTTTCATTTCTTAGTGAGGTTATTTGGATTTTCTCTCTGCTTTCCTTGGTTAATCTTGCTAATGGTCTATCAATTTTGTTTTATCTTTTCAAAGAACCAGCTTGTTTCATTTATCTTTTGTACTGTGTTTTTTTGTTTGTTTGTTTCAATTTCATTTAGTTCTGCTCTGATCTTGGTTATTTATTTTCTTCTGCTGGGTTTGGGTTTGGTTTGTTCCTCTTTCTCTAGTTCCTTGAGGTGTGACCTTAGATTGTCTGTGCTCTTTCAGACTTTTTGATGTAGGCGTTTAGGGCTATGAACTTTCCTCTTAGCACTGCGTTTGCTGTATCCCAGAGGTTTTGATAGGGTGTGTCATTATTGTCATTCAGTTCAAAGAATTTTTTAATTTCCATCTTGATTTCATTTTTGACCCAGTGCTCATTCAGGAACAGGTTATTTAATTTCCATGTATTTGCATGGTTTTGAAGGTTCATTTTGGAGTTTATTTTCAGTTTTATTCCATCGTGGTCTGAGAGAGTGCTTGATATAATTTCAATTTTCTTAAATTTATTGATGCTCGTTTTGTGGTCTGCTTTGGAGAAAGTTCCATGGGCTGTTGAATAGAATGTGTATTCTGTGGTTATTGGATGAGATGTTCTGTGTATATCTGTTAAGTCCATTTGTTCCAGGGTATAGTTTAAATCCGTTGTTCCTTTGTTGACTTTCTGTCTTGATGACCTGTCTAGTGCTGTCAGTGGAGTATTGAAGTCCCCCACTATTATTGTGTTGCTGTCTGTCTCATTTCTTAGGTCTATTAGTAATTGTTTTATAAATTTGGGCACTCCAGTGTTAGATGCATATATGTTTAGGATTGTGGTATTTTCCTGTTGGACAAGGCCTTTTACTATTATATAACGTCCCTCTTTTTCTCTTTTAACCGCTGTTGCTTTAAAATTTGTTTTGTCTGATATGAGAATAGCTGCCCCTGCTTGCTTTTGGTGTCCATTTGCATGAAATGCCCTTTTCCACCCCTTTACTTTAAATTTATGTGAGTCCTTATGCTTTAGGTGAGTCTCCTGAACAGGAGGCTGCAGATGGTTGGTGAGTTCTTACTCAGTCTGCAGTTCTGCATCTTTTAAGTGGAGTATTTAGTCCATTTCCATTCAATGTTAGTATTGAAATGTGAGGTACCGCGGCATTCATCATGCTCTTTGTTGCCTGTGTACTTTGGGTTTTTTTGTTTTTTGCTTTTGCTTTTTAACTTGAATTTTTGTTTTGTAGGTCCTATGTGATTTATGCTTTAAAGAGGTTCTGTTTTGATGTGTTTCAAGGATTTGTTTCAAGATTTAGAGCTCCGTTTAGCAGTTCTTGTAATGGTGGCTTGGTAATGGTGAATTCTCTCAGCATTTGTTTGTCTGAAAATGACTGTAGCTTTCCTTCATACACGATGCTTGGTTTCACTGGATATAAAATTCTTGGCTGATAATTGTTTTGTTTGAGGAGGCCGAAGATAAGGCCCTAATCCCTTCTAGCTTGTAGGGTTTTTGCTGAGAAATCTGCTGTTAAACTGATAGGTTTTCCTTTATAGGTTACCTGGTGCTTCTGTCTCACAGCTCTTAAGATTCTTTCCTTTGTCTTAACTTTGGATAACCTGATGACAGTGTGCCTAGTGAAGATCTTTTTGCAGTGACTTTCCCAGGTGTTCTTTGTGCTTCTTGTATTTGAATGTCTAGGTCTCTAGCAGGGCCGGGGGAGTTTCCTCAGTTATTCTCCCAAATATGTTTTCCACGCTTTTAGAGTTCTCTTCTTCCTCAGGAACACTGATTATTCTTAGGTTTGGTCGTTTAAGATAATCCCAGACGTCTTGGAAGCTTTGTTCATATTTTCTTATTCTTTTTTCTTTGTCTTTGTTGGGTTGGGTTACTGTCTTCAAGCTGGTAATTGAAAATAGACATGATTTAAATATCTAGCCATAAAAGATTGTTAAAAATAGTACATCCACATGATCAAATATCATTCAGTCATTAAAAATTATGACAAGGCTGGGCGCGGTGGCCCACGCCTGCAATCCCAGCACTTTGGGAGGCTGAGGTGGTGGATCACCTGAGGTCATGAGTTTGAGACCAGCCTGACCAACATGGTGAAACCTTGTCTCTACTAAAAATACAAAAATTAGCCAGGCGTGGTGGCGTGTGCTTGTAATCCCAGCTACTCAGGAGGCTGAGGCAGGGGAATCACTAGAACCCGGGAGGCAGAGGCTGCAGTGAGCCAAGGTTGGACCACTGCACTTCAGCCTGGGCGACAGAGCAAGATGCTCTGTCTCAAAAAAAAAAAGAAAGAAAAAGAAAGAAAGGAAACTTGGCCCAGGCTATCTGCCTCCCAGCGGTGAAAGAAAAGGGCTTTAGTTCTTCCGTAGTCTGTGAAGTCTGCATGCCGGATTCGCACCCTCCCCTGAGTTCTGGCCAGGAGGCTTCCCACCCCATTCAGATGGTTACAAAATTTGGCTAGAGAATTCCTTCTCCCTGTGGGGTTTTACCCCCTCCTTCTCTGTCCACCCTCCCTGTGGTGCCAGGCAAGAATGGGCTGCTTGGGGATCCAGTGAGCTCCCGGGGCCTTTCTGCTGCATCCTCTATCCCTGCATTTTGCGTGGCTCTCTAAGTTAGTCTGAAACTTCGACTGCAAACGGACCTTCAGCTTCTCTAGTGGGGGTGTGTGCTCAGGAGAGGAGGGTCTTCCTTTCTCACTTCTGCAGTTGGGACACTCACAGTATTTGGGGTGTCTCCCGGGTCCTGCAGGAGCAATCCGCTTCCTTCAGAGGGTCTGTGGATCCTCTTGGGGTTGCTGGTTTGTTCTTGCAGTGGATCTGGAGCTAAAATTCACAGTGCAAGCCTCTGCATGCAGCTCTGTCCGAAGCTGCAATCTAGTCCTGCTTCCTGTCTGCCATGATCCTTTAATTCCTCTCCTTCTGATTTTTTAAAAAATGTTTTATTATGGAAAATGTCAGACCCTTCCACAAAGTTAGAGTAGTGTAATGAACCATTATGTACCCATTACCCAGCCTCAACAGTTAGCAATTCAAAGCCTGTCTTGTTTCATGTATCTCTCTTATTCACTGTCATTACCCAAGTCACAGACATGATATTATTTTACTTCGATTTGATGTAGCTTTTTCATTGTTTATTTTCTTTTTGTAGAGATGGGGTCTTGCTGTGTTGCTCAGGCTGGTCTTGAACTCCTGGCCTCAAACAATCCTCCTGCCTTGGCCTCCCGAAGTCTTGGGATTTCAGGCGTGAGCCTCCACACTCAGCCTCATTGTGTATTTCTGAAAGATTTTTAAAAATAGCCACAATACTGTTATCACTTCAAAAAAATTCAGTTATTTAGTATTACCAGATGTCCAGCCAGTGTTCAAATTTTCCCAAGTTTGTTCATTGGTTTATTTTACAATTTGTCTAACTCTAGATCTAAATTAAGTCTATAAATTGCTATTGGTTGATATGTTACTTGTCTCACTTAATCCAGAGGTTTCCCTTTCTATCTCTTTTTTCTTCCCTTGGTATTTATTGAAGAAACTGGGTCATTTGTTTTATAGGACTTTTCACAGTCTAGATTTTGTTGATTGTATCCCCATGGTGTTCTTTAACGTACAGTTGGCCCTCTGTATCTGTGGGTTCTGCATCTGTGAATTCAATCCCGGATAGAAAATATTAGAAAAAAATATGTCTGTACTGAATATATACAGACTTTTATTCTTGTCATTCTCTTAATAATACATTATAACAACTATTTACATAATATTTACATTGTATTGAGTATTATATGTAATCCAGAGATGATTTATATTATAGGGGAAGATATGCATAGGTTATATGTAAATCCTACACCATTTTTTATCAGGGATATGAGCAACCTCGGATACCAAAATCCTGGAGGTCCTAGAACCATTGCCCCATGGATACTGAGGTGCACACTGTATTCATCTGCCCTCTGTACTTCTTGCAGATTGGTAGTTGGAGCCAGAGGCTTGATTCATGTTTGATTTTTGTGGCAAGAATACTTCTTGGGTGGTAGTTGTTATTCCATCACTACACCAATATAAACTGTAGTTATATAGATATATAACTATAATCATACCCCTGGTCTGGTTGTCTTTTTGTTGTTTCACTAGGCTTTGGTTAATTCTTTCTTCATTTCTCCTGTGGTCTTTTTCTCCACCATCAAGATTTATTTTTTTCTTTTTCTTTTTCTTTCTTTTCTTTTTTTTTTTTGGAGCTGGAGTTTTGCTCTGTTGCCAGGGCAGTGCAGTGATGCAATCTCAGCTCACTGCAACCTCCGTCTCCTGGGTTCCAGCACTTCTCCTCCCTCAGCCTCCCGAGTAGCTGGGATTACAGGTGCCTGCTGCCACAACCAGCTAATTTTTGTATTTTTAGTAGAGATGGGGTTTCGCCATGTTGGTCAGGCTGGACTCAAACTCCTGACCTCAGGTAATCCACCTGCCTCAGCCTCCCAAAGTGCTGGGATTACAGGTGTGAGCCACTGTGCCCAGCCAGGATTTCTTTTTTTTTTTTTAATTTGTAAGGCATCATACCTAGACTATCAGGATTTAAGTATCTAATTTGGCTGGGGGAAGAAAGAGAAAAACTGCTTTTCAATATTTTCATCTACTTTTAAAATATTTGTTTATGGTACCATCTCTGCTTCATCTCTTTCCTCATTTAAATATTTCTGCCATGTGAAACCATTTTACTGAAACCATTCTCATCAAGGTTATCAACGAACTCCTTGCTGAGTACAACAGACCCATCCAACCTTACTTTGCTTGATAGTTGGACAGGTTTGGATACTGTTGATTGCTTCCTTGAAATACTTTCTTGGCTTTTGAGACATACTCTCTCCTCTTTTTCTTTTACCTCTTGAACTGTTACTTTCAGCCTCAGTTGTAGGCTCTTTTTAATATAGGTGTTGCTCTGCACAGTCTCCATGGGTAATCTTACCATCTGCTGTGGTTTCAGAAAACATTTCTAAATAAAAAGTACCAAACCTTTTTTTTTTTTTTTTTTTTTTAATAGGTTGGTTCGCTTCAGAACTAACTTGTTTGTTACAGTTTGGTACTGGAGATTTCACAGGCATCTTAGAATCAACATACGTAAAATGGAGTTAATCATACTTTCCTCATCCCCTCACACATTCTAGTTTCCTGTTCAATTTAGTTTAGTTTTTTTGTTTGTTTTTTTGAGACGGAGTCTTGCTCTGTTGCCCACCCTGGAGTGCAATGGCTCAATTTCAGCTCAACTGCAACCTCCGCCTCCCAGGTTCAAGCGATTCTCCTGCCTCAGCCTCTCAAGTAGCTGGATTACAGGTGCTCGCCACCATGCCCAGCTAATTTTTTGTATTTTTAGTAGAGACGGGGTTTTGCCATGTTGGCCAGGCTGGTCTTGAACTCCTGACCTCAGGTGATCCACCCACCTTGGCCTCCCAAAGTCCTGAGATTACAGGCATGAGCCACCGCGCCCAGTCTCAACTTGGTTGTAAGCCAGAAATCACTTGACTCCTTGACTGACTTTCTCCCTTTCTGGCTGTCCACATTGAGTCACTAGTCCTGTAAGATATACCCAGTAAACAACTTAAATGCATCTCATTTTTTTTATTTACTCCTGTTGTCCTAATGTAGACCTCTGTCATCTGTAACCTTCATTACTGTAAGCTTCCTTTCTGATCTATTCTTCACTATGTAAGTGAGTGATTTTTTTTTTTCCTAAAATCTTATCTAATGGCTCCCTATTGGCCCTGGGATAAATTATAAAGACCTGAGTTTATTTTGTGGCCTGTTTGCTTGCTCAGCTTCGTCCTGAGTCATCACCCGCAGGTGGCAATACTTGTCACATTATTCACGCTGTTTTAATTGCCTTCTTGGCCGATGCTTCCAGTAGACTGTAACTTCTTGAATGTAAAGACCAAGTCCAGCCAGGTGTGGTGGCTCAAGCCTGTAATCCGAGCACTTTGGAGACCAAGGCCGGCGGATCACTTGAAGTCAGGAGTTTGAGACCAGCCTGGCCAACATGGTGAAACCCCGTCTTTACTAAAAATACAAAAAGTAGCCAGGCATGGTCGTGGGTGCCTGTAATCCCAGCTACTCAGGAGGCTGAGGCAGGAGAATCACTAGAAGCTGGGAGGCAGAGGTTGCAGTGAGCTGAGATTGTGCCAGTGCCCTCCTGGGCAACAAGAGTGAAACTCTGTCTCAAAAAAAAAAAAAAAGACCAAGTCATTTTCCCCATTAAACATGTTATTTAAGACAATACGTAGCACATAATATAAATTAAGTGTTCTTTATATGTTTGTTGAATGAATAAATTTGTTCAGTACACCAATATATTTAATGATTTATGTATGTGTTTTATCATTATTAGATAATCCTACTGTGCCAGTACTGTCATCATTCTTTCTTTTATTTTTATTTCTTAAGAGACAGAGTTTCTCTCTGGCGCCCAGCCTGGAGTATAGTGCCACAATCATGGTTCACTGCAGCCTTGACCTCCTGGGCTCAAGCAACCCTCCTGCCTCTGCCGCCTGAGTAGCTGGGACTGACTATAGGTGTGTGCCACCATGCCCTGCCAATTTTTTTTACTTGTAGAGACAGGGTCTCGCTTTGTTTCCCAGGCTGGTCTCAAACTCCTGGGCTCAAGCAATCCTTCCACCTCAGCCTCCCAAAGTGTTGGGATTACAGGCATGAGCCACCATGTACTACACTGTCATTATTCTTGTACATTCATTTGCTTTTTTGGCTAGCAGAGATATGTTTATAATTAAATTGGACTCTGTAATATACATAATATAGTGGGGGTTTTTTTCTGATTAAAGCAGGGAGTTTTGCCCTACCTCGTTTTCACTCTATATAATTGAGCCAGGCATGGTGGCTCATGCTTGTAATCCTAGGACTTTGGGAGGCCAAGCCAGGAGGATTGCTTCAGTTCAGAAATTTGAGACCAGCCTGGGCAACGTGGCAAAACCCTGTCTCTACAAAAATAGAAAAATACAAAAAAAAAAAAAAAAAAAATTAGCTGGGGTTGGTGGCACATGCCTGTATTCTTAGCTACTCAAGAGGCTGAGCCCAGCTTGGTTGAGGCTGCAATGAACCATGATTATGCTGCCACTGTACGCCAGCCTGGACAACAAAATAAGACCCCATCTCAAAAAAGAAACAGTATGAAGAAAAGTGAGACTTGAATAATTGGGAGTTGTTAAGTACCAAAGAAGTATGGTTTACTGGCTTGTCTGTTGTGTTTGGTTCCAGTTCCACTAGTTCTTACTGATTCCAACCATATTTCTCAGAATTTAGATGGAGTGATAGTGATGGCTTTCAGCTATCATTTGTAGTTAGCTGGGCTCCAGGTCAGAAGAATCCTTAAGGATTATAAAATAAATTCCTGCTTATATTTACTAGAATTGTTCTTCAGATAAGGATCTCTAATGAAATAGCAGTTGCCATAGCGAGCACCTGAGCTGTCACTTTTTCACTCAGGGCTCATGTTCGTTTTTCGTTTGTTTGTTTTTGAGACGGACTCTTCCTCTGTTGCCCAGACTGGAGTACAGTAGCATGTTGGCTCACTGCAACCTCTGTCTCCCAGGTTCAAGCAATTTCTCGCAAATTTTTGTATTTTTAGTAGAGACGAGATTTCACCGTGTTGGCCAGGCTGGTCGCAAACTCCTCACCTCAAGTGGTCTGCCCACCTCAGCCTCCCAAAGTGCTAGGTTTGCAGACATAAGCCACCACGCCTGGCCTCAGGGCTCATATTTGAAACCCGAAGGTATGCATTTTTTTTTCCTTTAAAAGAAATTGGGTCTCGCTTTGTCACCTAGGCTGGAGTGCAATGGCATGATCGTAGCTTTCCATAACCTTGAACTCTTGGGTAGCAAGCATTCCTCCTGCCTTAGCTTCTCAAGTAAGCATGCACCATCACACCTACCTAATTTTTAAAATTTTCTGTAGAGACGGGGTCTCCTGTGTTTCCCAGGCTGGTCTTGAACTCCTGGGCTCAAGTGATCCTCTTGCCTTAACCTCCCAAAGTACTAGGATTAATTACATATGTGAGCCACCACACCCCGCCTCTCATTCTTCTTTCTTCACTGGCTTATTCATTACTGTATTCTCAGTGCCTGGAGCAGTGACTGGAATGGCATTTGAAAGGTACTCAGGAAATGGTCCTTAACTCTTCTGTCCATGATAGGTTTCTAGATTGGTTGTCCCACAGGATCTTCATTATATGTTAATTTCATATCATTTGGAGGATGATTTTTTTATTGCTTTGAATTGCCTCTTCCAATCAAATTTTATATATACCAGTAGCCTCTATTTTAAGTAAGACCATCTCAAATACATTTCTTAATTAGGTACATTGGTTAAGAGAGCATAAGATTCCAGCACTTTGGGAGACTGAGGCAGGAGGATCCCATGAATACAGGAGTTTGAGACCAGCAATGTAGGGAGACCTGTCTCTACAAAAAAAAAATTTAAGAATTAGCTGGGCATGGTGGTGTGTGCCTGTCGTCCCAGCTGCTTGGGAAGCTGAGGTGGGAGGATCGCTTAAGCCCAGAGGGGGAAGGCTGCAATAAGCTGTGATCATGCCACTGCACTCCAACCTGTGTGAGAACCTGTCTCCAAAAAAACAATAAAAAGCGTAAGATTGCTAAGTAGTGTATGTTATAAATACCGGCCATTCTAAGGTTATTGGTGACTAACACTCAACCTTGAAGGTTACTTCAGTTATAGTTGGCACTGTTCGGCTTGTGCAGTTCATGAAACCCTTATCTGTTTTACCTTTTATACCTTTTTTGTAAATTTGAAATTTTACTTTTTGTCTCTAAGAGAGAATTACATTCGTTTAGAGTTACATGTTAATATTTGAAATCAAATGTATCTGGCAGGTTAACATGATTGGGAGTGGGTAAATGTATGTTAAATTTAAAAGTAATGCTGTTTTGGCTCATTGAATTATTAATTTAAAAGACAAAACAGTATGGTTTTTGACATTAGTTGACTTTCACTATAAGTGGAAAATCATCATCTAATATTTATACTAACATCACAATAAAATTTATCTTTGAAAATGAGTACTGTAACTAATAATTTAGAAATAAATTTTAAGTGAAATAATCTTTTTTTTTCTTCTCTTTCTCCTTAGGTGGAATGAATCTTACTTGTTGAATATCTTCTGGTTACTAGTTGGATTCATTTGTGAAAGAATCATTTTCCCCTGTGTGGAAGACACTTAGTGGCATATTTAAATTATAAGTCCACGGATCAAAAAGCTTTTTGATTTCCCAAAGGAGGGACATACCACTATATCAGATAAGCTTGACATTACAGCCAAGATGGTGCTGTCCCAGAGACAACGAGATGAACTGTAAGTTTCTTTGTTTTGTGCTTTAAAAAAAATCTCCCTCATGAGAGAGAAAGTAGTAAATTAAAATACAGCTTTGGGAGGTCTCTTCTAAGATTAAAACTATTTTTACCAGTGTTCCAATATTAGTTTAGGCAGTTTGGTCTGATTTTAAAACAGTCTTATTATGATATAGCATTATTTTTAAAATTTATTTATTCTTTCTGAGAAGGAGTTTTTCGCTTTTGTCACCCAGGCTGGAGTGCAATGGCGCCATCTCGGCTCACTTCAACCTCCGCCTCCCAGGTTCAAGCTATTCTTCTG
This sequence comes from Homo sapiens, assembly GCF_000001405.40. Taxonomy (NCBI): domain Eukaryota; kingdom Metazoa; phylum Chordata; class Mammalia; order Primates; family Hominidae; genus Homo; species Homo sapiens. The sequence goes on from NC_000017.11 coordinate 2,638,621, forward strand.
CCTCAGCCTCCCAAGTAGCTGGGATTACAGGCACCCGCTACCATGCCTAGCTAATTTTTGTATTTTTAGTAGAGATGGGCTTTCACCATCTTGTCCAGGCTGGTCTCGAACTCCTGACCTCAAGTGATCCACTCACCTCGGCCTCCCAAAGTGCTGGGATTACAGGCATGAGCCACTTTGCCCGGCCGTGATACAGCATTATTCACCCTTGTGACTTGACTGTATGTAAGTTTAACGCAAAACAGACAAGTCAGTTGGGATGAGTTTTACCCTAAGCTTATTTTTATTTTTATTTTTGAGATGGACTCTCGTTCTGTCACCCAGGCTGGAGTGCAGTGGCGCAATCTCGGCTCACTGCAAGCTCTGCCTCCTGGGTTCACGCCATTCTTCTGCCTCAACCTCCCGAGTAGCTGAGACTACAGGTGACCGTCAACACGCCTGGCTAAGTTTTGTATTTTTAGTAGAGATGGGGTTTCACCGTGTTAGCCAGGATGGTCTCAATCTCCTGACCTCGTGATCCGCCTGCCTCGGCCTCCCAAAGTGCTGGGATTACAGGCGTGAGCCACCGCGCCTGGCCCCTAAGCTTATCTTTTAAAATATTATGTTCAATAGGAAGTTAGGTGCTTCATAGCTCCTCTAAACCTTTTTTTGGTGTGGAATCTGTGCATTAGAAAAATGAAAGCTGTTTTGTTCTTGTTATCACTGATGTCTTTCCTTTGCCTTGTTGTGTTTCTTTTATCTTCCAATGGCCATTACAGAATTTGAAGAATTTGAACTTTATGAGGTAGCTAATAAAATAATTAATGCAGATGCTTTAATGAGAGAGGTGTGAAATGGTTTGACCTCTTCTGTTTTAGAGTATTTTATAGCATTCCATTTTTATAGGTGAAGAACATAGGGGGATTTTCCACTCCCCCGCTTCACCTGACTAGCTTTAAAAACATAAAAACAAAACGGGAAAATGTAGCTTTATGTTCTACTTCTTTTTTTTTTTGAGATGGAGTCTTGCTCTGTCGCCCAGGCTGGAGTGCAGTGGTGCAATCTCGGCTCACTGCAACCTCCGCTTCCAGGGTTCAACCAATTCTCTTGCCTCAGCCTCCCAAGTAGCTGGGATTACAGGCGCCTGCCACTGCGCCCAGCTAATTTTTGTATTTTTAGTAGAGAAAAGGGTTTCACCATCTTTGCCAGGCTGGTCTCTAACTCCTGACTTCGTGATCCTCCTGCTTTGGCCTCCCAAAGTGCTGGGATTACAGGCATGAGTATGTTCTATATTTTTACAATTAAAAAAAAAATTTTGTGGCTTTTCAACAATTTTTATTTGGAAGTAATTTCAAATTTATAAAGTTGCAAGATTAGCACAAAGCATACTAATGTTTTTTGAAATACACCCATTGTTAACATTTTGTACCATTTGCTTTATCATTTGCACTCTGTGTGTTGGGGGTCTGTGTGTGCAGTATGCAATAGGTTTTTCTTAAACCATGTTAGAGTAAGTTGCATATATCAAAGAAATACCTTTTCCCACAAATAAACTTAAGTAGTTCCCCAAAATAAGGATATTCTATAAAACCATAGTATAGCTAGCAGTTTTATTAAATTTAACCTTCCATATTCCAGTTTTATCAGTTGATTCCATAATGTCCTTTGTGGCACTTTGTTACTCTCGTACATCATCCCATCCAGGATCAGGTATTTCATTTAGCCCTCATGTGTCTTCAGTCACATTTAATCTGGAACAGTTCCTCAGCTTTTGTCTTTTTTTTTTTTTTTTGACCTTGATGTTTTTGAGGAATAGTCTTTGTTTTAAAATAGAGTATTTCTCATATTGTCCTTTTTTTTTTTTTTTTTTGAGACAGAGCCTCGCACTGTCACTCGGGCTGGAGTGCAATGGTGTGATCTCGGCTCACTGCAACCTCCACTTCCTGGGTTCACACTATTCTCCTGCCTCAGCCTCTCGAGTAGCTGGAATTACAGGCGCACACCACCACACCCGGCTTATTTTTTGTATTTTTAGTAGAGGCGGGGTTTCACTGTGTCGGCCAGACTGGTCTCAAACTCCTGACCTGGTGATCTGTCCACCTCAGCCTCCCAAAATGCTCATATTGTACTTTTCTAGTGTTTCCTCATGATGAGATTCAGGTTACGCATTCTTGGCCAGAATACTACATAAGTAGTTTGTATTCTTCTTAAGAGAGTTGGATTTAGAGAGACATAATGGTCATCTGCCCCTCAGTTTTCATCCTCAACCAAGATGATTGATTTTTTCACTGTGTAGTTACTGTCATTTTCTTTACCACAAATAAGTGGGAAGTACTTTAAGACCATGCAAACATTCATGTTTTCCATCAGTATTTCCCTCCTGGATTTGAGGTCTATTGATTCTCGCCTGAACCATCTTTACTACAGTGGTTATAGAGTGATGGTTTTCACCACCACTCATTCCACACTACAGGCAGCACTTATCATTTTGCTGTAAGCAAGGGACTTTCTTTTTCTTCTTTTTATTTACTTGTCTTTTTTCTTTTGTTTTTGTTTTTGTTTTTTTGGGAGATGGAGTCTCACTCTATTACCCAGGCTGGAGTGCACAGAGTGCAGTGCTGCGATTTTGGCTCACTCCAACCTCTGCCTCCCGGGTTCAAGCGATTCTCCTGCCTCAGCCTCCCAAGTAGCTGAGATTACAGGCACCCACCACCACTCCTGGCTAATTTTTGTATTTTTAGTAGAGACAGGGTTTCACCATGTTGGCCAGGCTGGTCTTGAACTCCTGACCTCAGGTGATGCGCCCACCTCGGCCTCCCAAAGTGCTGGGATTACAGATGTGAGCCACCACACCTGGCTGTCTTTTCATTATTGGTGTGAACTCATGAGTTCTCATATTTTCCATAGTTTATCATTCATTACTATTCTCACTGTTTTCATACTTGAATTGTCCCAAATTTGGCCCATGAGAGCCCCCTCAGTTGATGCTTTTGTATGCTTCTATCATTTTGGGAGATTATTTCCTTACTTTCTAGAATAACAAGATGTTCCGGGTTTACTGTGTACCTATCCTGCCTTAATTCTAGAATCAGCTCTTTCTCCAACAAGCTTTGGTTCTTCTTAGTGGCGCATGATATGTATTAGAGACCAAGATACGGGCACTAGGTATGGGCATTATTACTGGGATGTCTTTGTTTCTGGGCCCTTTAAGTAGACAGAGGTAGAAAATACATGCATGTATAAATACATATACTGACACCCTAGTATACACATATACAAGTGTTTTCTCAGTCTTGGCACGATTGACATTTTGGGCCAAATAATTCCTTATTGTGGGGTCAGTCTTGTATAGTTTTGGTTGTTAGCAACATCTCTGGCTTCCACCCACTAGATGCTACAAAGAAAATTATCTCCAGACATTGCCAGTGTCACCAGTTGAAAACTACTGATAAGTACCTACATGTCCACATACTTAACTTTAGAAATCATTAGGCTACAGTGATGCTTCTAATTCTGGTCTGTCCCCACAGAATTCTTTATCTTCTCTCATACCATTTATTTGTATCCCTCTTCTTCTATAGTGAGAACTCTGACTCCCAATAATATCAATAGATTGATTCACTTCCTCAATTCTGTAATATAGGATGAGCAGCCCAAGTCCAGAAATCCAAAATGCTTCAAAATCTGAAACTTTTTGAGTGCCAACATGACACTACAAGTGGACAGTTCCACACCTGACTGACCCCATGTGACAAGTTGCAAATGTTATTTAAAATTTTGTATAGAATTACCTTCATTAGAACTTGGGGATAAGTGTTCAGAAAAAAATAAATAAAATTGCCTTCAGTCTGTATGTATAAGGCATTTATGAAACAAATGAATTTCGTGTTTAGACTTGGTTGAGTCTCATATCCGAGATACCTCGTTAGATACATGCAAATATTCCATAATTTAGAAAAAATGTCGAAATCTGAAATACTTCTGATCCCAAGCATTTCAGATAAGAGCTACTCAACCTCTACTTCTCAAATAGTTTTAGAATTGTTTCCCTCATACTTCCACGAAGACCAGACATCCGGGAAAGGATTGAGAATTCGCATGCAGCTCTGCTCCTGCCTGTCCTGCCCACGACATGATCATCAAATGTGTTAATAGGTTACTTAGAATTTGTTTTGTTGTTGTTTTCCCTCTTTGCATGATGGTATTACTCATTTGAAATATAGTTGGGTTCATCTTGCTTGTTTTCATCCTCCCCCTCACTCCCCGCTGTCCTATCTTTAATTTTTTTAATATATAAACCATTATCTATAGAAAAACATGTACCCAGAAGTGTTACTCTCTTCTGAATCCCTTCCACCATGTTACCCCCAACTCCTTTCATCCCTTGAGGGAACCAAGCTTATTGTTTTTAAAAATATGAGATAGATATATATCTTCTTATTTCTCCCTCTTTCTTAAATAAAAGTAGCATACTGTATATGTTCTTTGTTTGTTTTTTTGTTTTGGAGACAAGAGTCTCATTCTGTCTTCCAGTCTGGACTGGAGTGCAGTGGCATGATCATGGCTCACTGCAGCCTTGACCTCCTGGGCTAAAGCGATTGTTACACCTCAGCCTCCCGAGTAGCTGGGACTACAGGTGCATGCCATGCCACCATGCTCAGCTAATTTTTTCCTTTGCCTTTTTTGTTTTCCCCCTTTTGTGGAGAACGGGGTCTCGCTATATTGCCCAGGCAGGTCTCGAACTCCTGGGCTCAAGCTATTCTCCTGCCTCTGCCCCCCTAATAGCTGGGATTACAGGCATGAGCCACTGCACCTGGCCACACTCAGCTAATTTTTCTTTAGTTTTTGTAGAGATGGTCTCACTATGTTGCCCAGGCTGCCTCTGGGCTCAGGTGATGCTTGCACCTAGGCCTCACAAAGTGCTGGGATTACAAGTGTGAGCCAACACACCTGGCTTTTTTTTTTTTCTCTTCCCCCGGAGACAGAGGCTTTCTCTGTTGCCCAGACTGGAGTGCAGTGGGGTGATCTCAGCTCCCTGCAACCTCTGCCTCCTGGGTTCAAGTGATTCTTGTGTCTCAGCCTCCTGAGTAGCTGGGGTTACAGGCAGGCACCACCACACCCCGCTAATTTTTTGTATTTTTAGTAGAGACAGGATTTCACCATGTTGGCCAGGCTGGTCTCAAGCTCCTGACCTCAACAGATCACCTGCTTCGGCCTTCCAAAGTGTTGGGATTACAGGCGTGAGCCACCGTGCCCGGCCCACACCTGGCTCTTTTTGATGTTGTTAAAGACAGATTCAACCCCTTTCGCCCAGGCTGGAGTACAGTGGCGCAGTCAGAGCTCACTGCAGCATTTAATTTCTGGGCTCAAGAGATCCTCCCACGTCAGTCTTCTGAGCAGCTGGGACTGCAGGCTCCCGCCACCACATCTGGCTAATTTTTTATTTACAGATTTTTTTTGTAAAGATGAAGTCTTGCTATGTTGCCCACGGTGGTCTCACTCTTGGGCCCAAGCCTCCCGAGTTGCTGGGATTACAGGCTCAAGCCACTGAGCCTCTCTTGCTCTTTTTTTTTTTTTTCTTACCAATCCAGTATCTCCTGGAACTTTTTCCATATAAGCTCATAAAGTTTTTCCTTATTTTTCTTTTTAAAACAGTTGTAGGCTGGGCACAGTGACTCATGCCTGTAATCCCAGCACTTTGGGAGGCCGAGACGGGTGCATGACCTTAGGTCAGGAGTCCAAGACCAGCCTGGCTAACATGGTGAAACCCCATCTCTACTAAAAATACAAAAAATGAGCCGGGCGTGGTGGTGGGCGCCTCTAGTCTCAGCTACTCGGGAGGCTGAGGCAGGAGAATCACTTGAACTTGGGAGGCGGAGGTTGCGGTGAGCCGCGATCACACCCTTGTACTTCAGCCTGGGCAACAAGAGTGAGACTCCATCTCAAAAAATAAATAAATAAATAAAACAGTTGTATATGTAGTACCTAGTTCTCTACTTATACCTTAATGTATTCAACCAGTCTCCCGTGTTTGGTATATTTAGGTAGTTTTCAATATTTTGTAACTCCAAATAATACTGTAATACATAACCCTGCATATGTGTACCTTTGTATTATTTGGAGGTATATGTGTTTTTTTAGTCATTGTTATTTCTGAGTCAATTCAGATCTGTCTTCCAGATGCTTTGTATGAACTCACTGCAGTCACACTACCTTCATAATCAGGATAAGTATTTAAGCATTATGATATTATGGCCCAAAAGAGAGCTTTTAATTTGAATAAAAATAAAGTGAAAGAGGAGAACCTAATTTCAGATGACTAAATTTATAGAGAGCTTTAGATAAATAATTTAAAATGTTCATCAGGCCAGGTGTGGTGACTCACACCTATAATCCCAGCATTTTGGGAGGCCGAAGTGAGAGAATGGCTTGAGCACAGAGGTTCAAGACCAGCGTGGGCAACCTGGTGAAACCCCGTCTCTACAAAAAATACAAAAATTAGCCGGTTGTGGTGGCAGGCACCTGTAATCCCGGCTACTCAGCTGGCTGAGGCAAGAGGATTGCTTGACCTTGGGAGATTGAGGCTGCAGTGAGCCATGATCATGTCACTGCACACCACTCCAGCAACAGAGCAAGATCCTGTCAAAAAACAAAAACAAAAGTGTTCTTCAAGCAAAGAAAATTTGTCTTATAATAAGATTTAAATGTAAATCTGGGGCCGGGTGCAGTGGCTCATGCCTGTCATCCCAGCACTTTGGGAGGCTGAGGCAGATCACTTGAGGTCAGGAGTTGGAGACCAACCTGGCCAACATGGTGAAACCCACCTCTACTAAAAATGCAAAAATTAGCTGGGCGTGATAGCGCATGCCTGTAATCCCAGCTAGTCGGGAGGCTGAGGCACAAGAATCACTTGAACCTGGGAGGCAGAGGTTGCAGTGAGCCGAGATCGCACCACTGCACTCCAGCCTGGGGGACAGAGGGAGACCCTGTCTCAAAAATATATATATTTATATATATATATATATTTTTTGTTAGACGGAGTCTCGCTCTGTCCCCCAGGCTGGAGTGCAGTGGCACGATCTCAGCTCACTGCAACCTCCACCTCTTGGGTTCTCCTGCCTCAGCCTCCCGAGTAGCTGGGACTACAGGCGCATGCCACCACGCCTGGCCACTTTTTTGTATTTTTAGTAGAGACGGGGTTTCATTGTGTTAGCCAGGATGGTCTCACTCTCCTGACCTCGTGATCCACCCGCCTGGACCTCCCAAAGTGCTAGGATTACAGGCATGAGCCACCACGCCTGGCCAAATATATATATATTTCTAAATAGCTAAGGAGTTGAGATTAAAATAAAACTTAGGAGCTGAAGACATCAGTAATAATGAGGGTACTGATAACAAAAACCTATCAGATACAGCCAACATAGCCTACAGAAAATACAGTCTTCAATGAATCTTTATAAAAATGACAGAAAATGAACTATGTGTTCAATTTAAGGATAAGAACGACAAAATAAGTCTAAAGAAAGCAGGAAAGGGGAAGAATTAATAATAAATAAAAGCAGACCTTAATAAAATAGAAAATAGTCCAGTAAACTTAATTGATAAAACCAAAAACTAGCTTTTTAAAAAGACCAGTAAAATAGACAGTTTTTTAAAGAGAAAATTTATAAAACCAATTTAAGAAAATTTATAACCAATTTAATAAAGAGAAAAGACATAAATGAACTTTATAGGAATGAGAAATTCAACATAAAATGAACTCAGATGATTTTCAAACTTATGAGAGTACGGTATCCTATTAGGTTTGAAACAATCTGCTGGGCGCAGTGGATCACTTGAGGTCAGGAGTTTGAGACCTGCCTGGCCAACATGGTGAAGCCCCATCTCTACTAAAAATACAAAAATTAGCCGGGTGTGGTGGCACATGCCTGTAATCCCCACTACTCAGGAGCTGAGGCATGAGAATTGCTTGAACCTGGGAGGTGGAGGTTGCAGTGAGCCAAGGTTGCGCACTCCAGCCTGGGCAACAGAGTGAGACTCTGTCTCAAAAAATAATAAAATAAATAAATAAATTTGAAAATCTGAATGACCTGGGTGCTTTTTCTAGGAAAATATGTGATAACATTGGTTCAAGAAATAGTAGGAAACTTGAATAGATCATTAAATATAGAGAACATTGTAACATTAAAGATTTCAAGCCCAGGCAGTTTTTAAGCCTAGATGCTAATTTTTTCAAATCTTAAGGACCATTTGCTTCCCAGATTACATTGCTTTTTCCGGGACATAAAGGTAGTAAATTTAGGAGCTTATTTTATAAGGTGGGCACCACCTTCGTAGAAACACTGGGTGAGGCCAGGCATGGTGGCTCACACCTGTAACCCCAGCACTCAGAGAGGCCGAGGTGGGTGGATCTCTTGAGTCCAGCCTAGCCAACATGGCAAAACCCTGTCTCTATTAAAAATAAATTTGGCTGGGCACAGTGGCTCATGCCTGTAATCACAGCACTTTGGGAGGCTGAGGCAGGTGGATCACCTGAGGTCAGGAGTTCAAGGCCAACCTGGCCAACATGGAGAAAGCCCTTCTCTACTAAAAATACAAAAATTAGCTGGGCGTCGTGGTGCACACCTGTAGTCCCAGCTACTTGGGGCGGTGAGGGAGGTGCGAGCTGAGGCACGAGAATTGCTTGAACCCTTGAGGTGGAGGTTGCAGTGAGCCGAGATCGTGCCACTGCACTTCAGCCTGGGAGACAGAGTGAGACTGTCTCAGAAAAATAAAAATACAAAAATTAGCTGGGCATGGTGGCACACACCTGTAATCTCAGCTACTATTTTGAAGGCTGAGGCGTGAGAATCACTTGAACCTGAGAGGCAGAGATTGCAGTGAGCTGAGATCATGCCACTGTATTCCAGCCTGGGTGACAGAGTGAGACCCTGTCTCAAAAAGGAAAACAAGAAGATTACAGTCTAATGATTTCTGTGAACTCAGATTAAACATACTAAATAATATAATAGTGGAATCCAGTCGGATATGAAAAACATTGCTCATTGCCAAATGTATTCATCCACTCTCATGCTGCTAATAAAAACATACCCAAGACAGGGTAATTTATAAAGGAGAGAGGGCAGCCGGGCGAGGTGGCTCACGCCTGTAATCCCAGCACTTTGGGAGGCTGAGGTGGGTGGATCATGGGGTCAGGTGATTGAGACCATCCTGGCTAACACAGTGAAACTCCGTCTCTACTAAAAATACAAAAAATTAGCCGGGCATGGTGGCGGGCGCCTTTAGTTCCAGCTACTCGGGAGGCTGAGGCAGGAGAATGGGGTGAACCCGGGAGGCAGAGTTTGCAGTGATCCGAGATCATGCCGCTGCACTCCAGTCTGGGCAACAGAGTGAGACTCTCTCAAAATAAATAAATAAATAAATAAATAAAGGAAAGAGGTTTAATTGACTCACAGTTCAACATGGCTGGCAGGCCTCAGGAAAGTTAAAATAATGACAGAAGGGGAAGCACACGTCGTCCTTCACATAGTGGCAGAAAGGAGAAGAATGAGAGACGAGTGAAGGGGGAAGCCCCTTATTAAGCCATTAGATCTCATGAGAGCTTACTATCATGAGAACAGCATGGGGGAACCACCACCATGATCCAGTTACCTTCCACCGGGTCCCTCCCACCACACGTGGGGATTATGGGACCTACAATTCAAGATGAGGTTTGGGTGGGGACACAGCCAAACCCTATCACCAAGTATAATTTTTCCCGTGATTACAAGGTTGGTTCAACATTAAGAAATTTATGGCCGGGCATGGTGGCTCACACCTGTAATCCCAGCACTTTGGGAAGCCAAAGTGGGTGGATCACTTGAGGTCAAGAGTTCAAGACCAGCCTGGCCAACATGGTGAAACCCCATACCTACTAAAAATACAAAAAAATAGCCGGGTGTGGTGGCACACACCTGTAGCCCCAGCTAATTGGGAGGCTGAGGTGGGAGACTCTCATGAGCCCAGGGGGCAGAGGTTGCAGTGACCTGAGATCGTGCCATTGCACTCCATGCTGGGCAACAGAGTGAGACTCTGTCTCAAAAAAAAAAAAAAAAGTGAAACACCATATGATTAACCCAAAATATAGAAAATGGTGTATTTTTAATACCCATTCCTGATGGTTAAAAAAAAAAAACCCTGTAGAAAATAACAGGATATTTTCTTAACTTGATTATGGCTACCTACCAGAAATTTACAACAAACATTAAAATATAAATACTAGGTGCATTCCCATTAAAGTCAGCAAGAAACTAAGAGTTCCTGTGTCTCTGCATCTATTTCAGTATATATTTGAGATTCCAGCTCATGTAGTAAGGCAACAGAAAGAATTAGAACTATTGGAAAGGAAGCAGCCAAACATTTATAGGTGACAGCATCTACAGAGCCAACCTAAGGGAATCAACAATTACAATTAATGGTTTCAGGGCCAGGTGGGGGTGGCTCACACCTGTAACCCGAGCACTTTGGGATGTCGAGGCTGAGACAGGAGGATTGCTTGAAACTGGGAGGCAGAGGCTGCAGTGAGGCGAGATCATGCCACTGCACTCCAGCCTGGGCAACAAAGCAAGACTGTCTCAAAAAAAAAAAAAAAAAATTAATGGGTTTAGTATGGTAACCTGAAACAAGATGGCATACAAAAATAAACTCTTCCTGGCCAGGTGCAGTGGCTCACACCTTTAATCCCAGCATTTTGGAAGGCCGAGGCGGGTGAATCACCTAAGATAAGGAGTTCAAGACCAGCCTGGCCAATATGACGAAACCCCATCTCTACTAAAAATACAAAAATCTAGCCAGCCGTGGTGGTGCGCGCCTGTAGTCCCACATACTTGGGAGGCTGAGGCAGGAGGATCGCTTGAACCTGGGAGGCGGGGAGGTTGCAGTGAGCGGATGTCGTGCCACTGCACTCCAGCCTGGGCAACAGTAAGACTCCGTCTCAAAATAAATAAATAATAAACTGTTCTTGTTGTTGGATAATATAGTAGAAAAGATTTTCCTTGTTTCTGGATGAAAAAGTCAGTATTGGACAGATATCACAACTCTTAAAATAATAAAATTAAATGCAATCCCAATCAAAATTCAAACTAAATTTCTCATTAACTTGACCAGCTTGATCTTAAAAATCATTTGGAAGAGAAAAATAAATAAAATATTTTAAATGATAAATGGGAAAGCACCTGAATCTATCAGATATACAAATATTATTGTAAAATGTGGAATAGACAAATAGGTTAGGGGAACAAAGTTCAAAGACATGCCCATTTATGAAATTTAGCATGGGATAAGGTGGTATTAAAAGCCTTAATGTTGAACACATACAGAATAACAGTATAAAGTGGTAGAGAAAATATACCCTTTGGGTAGAGGTGGACTTCCTCAAGGTATAAAATGTAGAAACAAAAGGAAGACTGGTAAGTTTGACTGTATCAAAATAGAAAACTTCTGTGTGAAGAAAGGCCTCAAAACAGGCCAGGCACTGTGGCTTAGGCCTGGAATCCCTGCGCTTTGGGAGGCCAAGGAGTTTGAGATCGGCCTGGGCAACGTAGGTGCAAGATTTTATCTTTACAAAAAATTGATTTAAAAAATAGTCTGGCAGCCAGGTGCAGTGGCTCACGCCTGTAATCCCAACACTTTGGGAGGCCGAGGCGGGTGGATCACTTGAGGTCAGGAGTTCAAGACCAGCTTGGACAACATGGCAAAACCCCATCTCTACTGAAAATACGAACATTAGCCAGACGTGGCGGTGTGCACCTGTAATCCCAGCTACTCAGGAGGCTGAGACAGGAGAATCACTTGAACCCGGGAGCTGGAGGTTGCAGTGAGCCGAGACTGCACCACTGCACTCCAGCCTGGGTGACAGAGCAAGACTCCATCTAAAAAAAAAAAAAAAATACAGGGATGTCGGCGCAGTCTTGGGACCTACCTGGGAGGCCTCAGTGGGAGGATCCTGGGAGGTCTTGCGCCACTGCACTCCAGCCTGGGTGACAGAGCAAGACTCTGTCTCAAAAAAAAAAAAAAAAAAAAAGGAAGTTAATTGAAAAAATCAAATTTTATGTGGGTATATAAAAGTAATCCCACAATTTATAGAAATATTTTCTTTAAAATTATTGTGAGTTCTAACCATTTTTTTGTGTGTGTATAATGCCATTCTCTTCCTCTGTGAAGTGCCTGTTCGGGGTGTTGCTACGTTTTTGTTTTGTTGTGTTTTCTGTTGTAGTGTTTACATTTTTCTTGTCGATTCCTAAGAGGACTTTAGGGTACTGAGTCACCCATGGTCATGTGTTGCAGAGAAGTGTCACAGAGTGAAAACTGTCTTTTCCTTGATACTACCTTTAGATTCATATTTGGGAAGACCTTCGCTAATCATGACTACATAAGTATTCACTTTTACTTTCTTAAGACCTTTTTGTTTTCATTTCTTTTTATAGTAATGTCTAAGCCATCTGGAATTTATGTTTGTTGATTATGCAAGAAAGGGATCGAAGTGCTTTTTCTGAGTCATTATCCACATGCCGAAACATTTATTGAATAGCCCTTTCCTTATTGATCTGAAAACACCTTCTTATAAAACCTTGCATTGGTTTTTGGACTTGCTGTGCTTTCAGGAGTCAGAAGAACATTCTTTTGATTATTGTAGCTTTACATTAATAATACATTTTGGCCGGGTGCGGTGGCTCACGTATGTAATCCTAGCATTTTGGGAGACTGAGGCAGGCGGAACACCTGAGGTCAGGGGTTCAAGACCAGACTGGCCAACATGGCAAAACCCCGTCTCTACAAAAAAAAAAAAAAAAAAAAATTAGCTGGGCATGGTGGTGCCTGCCTGAAATCCCAGCTACTTTGGGAGGCTGAGGCAGGAGAACCTCTTGAGCCTGGGAGGTAGAGGCTGCAGTGAGCCGAGCTTGCACCACTGCACTCCAACTTGGGTAACAGAGTGAGACTCCATCTCAAAAAAAAAAAAAAGAAAAATACATTTCAATATGAGGTAATAAATTCTCCTAAATTTTTTGTTTTGTAAACCTCCTTGCTTCTCTTAAATTATTTTCCCAAAAAGCCTTAAGTGTTTTCCGTAGTAATTTTGATTTGGGAATGGAGTGAGTGACTTGGTAGAGGGTGCCATATGCCTTTTTGCCTTTCCCCAGTTTCCCCTACTGTTAACATCTCACATTTATGTGGTGTATTTATTATAATTGATGAGCCAACATTGACACATTATTACTGAAGTCCATAGTTGACATTAGGGTTTACTCTTTTTGTTGTATATTCTGTTGGTTTTGACAAATGCCTAATGTTATATATCCATCAGTCATACAGAATAAATTCACTGCCCTAAAAATCTCAGCCTCCCCCTATTCATCCTTCCCTGCCTCCCTAAACCCCTCATATTTTTACTGTTAACCATAGTTTTGTCTTTTCCAGAAAATTACAATTATATAGCTTGTATCCTTTTCAGATTGGCTGCTTTGACTTAACAATATGTACTTAACATTTCTAGGCCAGACACAGTGGCTCACGCCTGTAATCCCACACTTTGGGAGGCCAAGGCGGGCAAATCACGAGGTCAGGAGATCGAGACCATCCTGGCTAACACGGTGAAACCCCGTCTCTACTAAAAATACAAAAAAAAAAATTGGCCGGGCGTGGTGGCGGGTGCCTGTAGTCCCAGCTACTCGGGAGGCTGAGGCAGGAGAATGGCGTGAACCCGGGAGGCGGAGCTTGCAGTGAGCCAAGATCGCGCCACTGCACTCCAGCCTGGGCGGCAGAGCGAGACTCCGTCTCAAACAAAACAAAACAAAAACCAAAAACATTTCTCCATGTGTTTTCATGACTGTGATATATTTTTAAGCATTTTTGTTGTTGTTTACTTTATTGCTTTAAAAAACTGACTTTTGCAGTTAGTTGAGGTCCTGAGGTTTCTCCTGTGAATCTGTTTGAACATCATATATATTTGGCATTGATTGGAAAGCGGTTTTTCCCTGGCCTGTGTGAAATACACTGAAGGTCTGCACCTGCCCGCGCACTTCACGTTGTACATGGGAATGTACTATAGCTGCACATGTTCATGTAGTGGCGTTAGATGCCAAATAGTTCTAGGGCTTAGTTTAAGATTGGGTACTTTTTGTCAGGAAACAACAGGTGCTGGAGAGGATTTGGAGAAATAGGAACACTTTTGCACTGTTGGTGGGACTGTAAACTAGTTCAACCGTTATGGAAGTCAGTGTGGCGATTCCTCAGGGATCTAGAACTGGAAATATCATTTGACCCAGCCATCCCATTACTGGGTATATATACCCAAAGGATTATAAATCATGCTGCTATAAAGACACATGCACACATATGTTTATTGTGGCACTGTTCACAATAGCAAAGACTTGGAACCAACCCAGATGTCCAACAACGATAGACTGGATTAAGAAAATGTGGTACATATACATCGTGGAATACTATGCAGCCATAAAAAAGGATGAGTTTGTGCCCTTTATAGGGACATGGATGAAGCTGGAAACCATCATTCTCAGCAAACTATTGCAGGGACAAAAAACCAAACACCACATGTTCTCACTCATAGGTGGGAATTGAACAATGAGAACAGCTGGACACAGGAAGGGGAACATCACACACCAGGGCCTGTCGTGAGGTGAGGGGAGAGGGGAGGGATAGCATTAGGAGATATACCTAATGTAAATGACGAGTTAATGGGTGCAGCACACCAACATGGCACATGTATACATATGTAACAAACCTGCACGTTGTGCACATGTACCCTAGAACTTAAAAGTATTAAAAAAAAAAAAGATTTGGGTACTTTTTGCCTGACTTTGTGATCTATAATAAGGCATGAAAGTAATTTTTAGATCTTGTTAGTGACTCAGCTTTCAAACAGGTATTTTCCACTCCTTTTTAAATCTTCTGGCTCAGTTTAATTGAAGAATACTCTGAGACTGCAAGTTGAGCTGTTTAAATCCAGGGACTGTTTGCACTGTTTACCTGTGTGAATTTGAATTTTGTTAATATAGGGCAACAAAAACAAAGTACACGAATGAATTTGGATAGTAAGGTTGAAATAAGACTATAACTATAATCTAAATTTCAGATGGTTATATTTATAAAAACAGCTATATATTTTCATTGATTGTCAAAGTAACTATACATTTTTTATTTTTATTTTTTAAATTTATTATTATTTTTGAAACCGAGTCTTATACTCTGTTGCCCAGGCTGGAGTACAGTGGCGCAATCTCGGCTTACTGCAACCTCCACCTCCTGGGTTCACGTGATTCTCCTGCCTCAGCCTCCCAAGTAGCTGGGATTACAGGCGCGTGCCACCATGCCCGGTTAATTTTTTCTATTTTTAGTAGGAACAGGTTTCACCATGTTAGCCAGGATGGTCTCAATCTCCTGACCTGGTGATACACCCGCCTCGGCCTCCAAAAGTGCTGGGATTACAGGCGTGAGCCACCATGCCCGGCCAGTCACTATACATTTAAATATAAACTATTTAATATGCTGCTTCTATCCAGCTTACATGTTGAGGTCCCTGTTGTCTTTTAAACCTTTTTTTTTTTTTTTTTAAAGACAGTTTTGCTCTTATCGCCTAGGCTGAAGTGCAATGGTGCTGTCTTGGCTCACTGCAACCCCTGTCTCCCAGGTTCAATCAATTCTCCTGCCTCAACCTCCTGAATAGCTGGGATTACAGGCACGCACCATCACTCCCAGCTAATTTTTGTATTTTTAGTTTCACCATGTTGGCCAGGCTGGTCTCAAACTGACCTCAGGTGATCGCCCGCCTCAGCCTCTCAAAGTGTTGGGATTACAGGCATGAGCCACTCCACTCGGTCTGTCTTTTCAACTTTAAAAGTTTGATAATGATGGAATCTATAATCATATTGTCTATATTTTCACTTTCTATGCAGTGACGGTTGTTTCTAATTATTGCCTTAAGGTAAAAAATTAAAAAGGCCCTCTGAGTCTTCAGAGGAGGATTAAAATATTCTCAGTTTGTGTTAGTTTTTGTTTGTTTTTTGAGATAGTGTCTGGCTCTGTTACCGAGGCTGGAGTGCAGTGGCTCAATCTCAGTTCACTGCAGCCTCCGCCTCCCGGGCTCAAACCATCCTCTCACCTCAGCCTCCCAAGTTGTTGGGACTACAGGTGTGTGCCACCATGCCTAGCTAATTTTTCTATTTTTTATAGAGACAGATTTTTGCCATGTTGCCCAGGCTGGTCTTGAACTCCTGGGCTCAAGCAGTCTGCCTGCCTCAGCCTCTCGAAGTGCTGGAATTACAGGTGTGAGCCACCCTGCGTGGCTTTTTTTTTTCTTCTTTTTTTTTTTTTTAAAAGAGACAGGGTTCAGGCTGGAGTAGTGCAATGGCATGATCATAGCTCATAACTCTGGGGCTCAAACAATCCTCCCGCATTGGCCTTTCAAAGTGCTGGGATTACAGGTGTGAGCCACCATGCCCAGCTTGTGTTAGATTTTTTTATTCTTTGGAAATTTTTGATTTCCAGAATGAAATTGCTGATCATTTAAAAAATATATATATACATATATGTGTGTGTGTGTGTGTGTGTGTGTGTGTGTGTTTATAAGAGTGAAATGTAGGCATCTATAAAGATGATCAAGATATGATCAAGGTCAAAATTGTTGACTTTCTGGAGAATTCATACAAAGCCCTTTTACATACCACATCACATTGCATTTCACTGAAAGATGGAGGGTATTCTAGAGAATTGTATTAGAAAGAGAAGACACATCGTAGGCCAGGCACAGTGGCTCACTTCTGTAATCCCAGCACCTTGGGAGGCCGAAGCAGGTGGATCACCTGAAGTCAGGAATTCAACATCAGCCTGACCAACATGGAGAAAACATGTCTCCACTAAAAATATAAAAATTAGCTGGGTGTGGTGGCACATGCCTGGTAATCCCAGCTACTCCGGAGGCAGAGGTTGCAATAAGCTGAGATTGTGCCACAGCCCTCCAGCCTAGGTGACATGGCAAGACCCTGTCTCAAGAAAGAGAAAACACATCACAGAAGAGGAAGGGAGATTCTTTTGTAGTTGCTACGTGTGACGACAGGGTGTTCACACACATGTGTAAGATGTACCACCCTCCAGCCTTGTTACAATGTCGTCACATTACCCGACCGATGTGAAAAAAAAAAAAATAGAAGAGGAAAGCAGTGCCACAAATACAGGAAACTACATTGAGAAAGTTATATGCTGAGTAGCTTCTATTTTCTGTGTGGAGTTGGAGGTCAGCTGAAGGATGGGATGCAATTAGGTGGTTTTCGTTTTGTTTTGTTTGTTTTGAGACTGAGTCTCCATCTGTCACCCAGGCTGGAGTGCAGTGGCACGATCTCGGCTCACTGCAACCTCCGCCCCTGGGTTCAAGTGATTCTCCTGCTTCAGCCTCCCAAGTGACTGAGACTACAGACATCTGCCACCACGCCCGGCTAATTTTTTTTGTATTTTTAGTAGAGACGGGGTTTCACTATGTTGGCCAGGCTGGTCTCGAACTCCTAACCTCGTGATCTGCCCGCCTCAGCCTCCCAAAGTGCTGGGATTACAGGCGTGAGCCACTGCGCCTGGCCACAATTAGCTATTTAAAAGGGAAAAAAGGACCAGTCTAGACAACATATTGAGACCCTATCTCTACTTTAAAAAAAAATTAACCCATCATGGTGGCATGTGCCTGTAGTTCCAGCTACTCAGGAGGCTGAAGCAGGAGGATCCATTGAGCCCAGGAGCTTGAGGATGCAGTGAGCCATGATTGTGCCACAGCACTCCAGCTTGGGTGACAGAGCAAGACCTCATCTTTTTTTTTTTTCAAAGAGTGAGGAAAGGGGCCCGGGACAAGTAAATGATTCATCAGGTGGCAGTGAATGACTACCATATACTATGACTTGACCTATCCTAATTCTAAAAATATAAATACATTATTAGCAGTATTGTAGATAATTGAATATCCTGCTCTTCAGTGCAGAGTAAAAACTGCTCCATCAACAATTGGAAGCTATATTTAATCAGATAATTCTGGGGATGCCTATTATGAATATGACCTGATTTTAAGGGATCTTCATTGTTTTTTAGGGCTTGACTTACTATACAGTGGTCTTCCTTTGTTTAGTTTGCTGTTTCATGTAATCTGCCTGTATACTTCTGACACTTCTGATAAATAGGTCTTTTAAAATTACTGTTTTCATTCAATTGCTTTTTCTTGCCTTGAATGTCCTACATAGTCTGTTTCTGTTTCTAGCCATTTCTCTCATTATTTTAATGCCACCTGATTTAGAGCAGTTTTTTTTTTGAGACAGAGTCTCGCTCTGTAGCCCAGGCTGGAGTGCAGTGGCGCAGCCTGGGCCCACTGCAAGCTGCGCCTCTCAGGTTCACGCCATTCTCCTGCCTCAGCTTCACTAGAGCAGTTTTAAGTAATAGGAATGATTATAGCATCTTTGCCTTGTTCTTTGACACAAGTGTTTCTAGTGTTCTGCCATTAACTATTAGATTTATTGGTTGAAGGTTTGAGAGATTTCTTTTTTCCTGATGTTAATGAACATTCTTAATGAAGACCTTTCCGTTAATGAGGAATGTTTAAAAATCAAGAATGTTGAATTTGTTTCTGTTTTTTGAGACAAGAGTCTCACTGTGTCACCCAGGCTGTAAGGCAGTGGCGCCATCTTGGCTCACTGCAATACTCCACCTCCCAGGTTCAAGTGATTCTCCTGCCTCAGCCTCCCAAGTAGCTGGGATTACAGGTGTCCACCGCCGTGCCCGGCTAATATTGTATTTTTAGTAGAGCTGAGGTTTCACCATGTTGGCCAGGCTGGTCTCAAACTCCTGACCTCAAGTGATCCACCCACCTCAGTCTCCCAAAGTGGTGGGATTACAGGCGTGAGCTACCACGCCTGGCCAAGAATGTTGAATTTGATCAGATGTTTTTAGGTAAACATTGAGATCTCCATAATGTACCATTCTGATTCACTTGGTCCAGCTCAGCTCCCTGCCTAGGTAATACTTACTATTTCCTTTAAGTCCTCGCATCTCGCCTTTATAAAAAGATTCTTCCATTCAGTCTCATTTCTCTCGTCTTTGAATTAAATTTCATAGACTTCAGTAGCTTTTATTTTGCTCCTCAGATAGGTTTACAAGATCCTAGGAGGCAAGGGACCATATATAACTTAACCTTCTTTTATATTCCTTGGTATAAAACTGGAAATAACAAGCACTCATCCCTTCTTCCTCTTTCCTTTTTTCTTTACATGTTTTATAGTGAAATTTTGCTTTACATTTTAAAAATATAAATGTTTCAAACTATTCAATACATGACAGTTGTATTGTGTATCTTTCCTATTGTACAACCTGACTTTGCCTTATGAGTTTTTGAAATAATGCAAAATATTTTTATAGGAATATATCCTGAGTGGATCTCACAGTTGTAAATTATGCTGAACAACTAAGGCAAAATCTCCTCCTCTCTGGAAACGTAGCTGACCTCTGGCCTGTAGCAGGCCATGCAGTTTTTTTCTAAGTGTCAGTCAATAATATAGTAACTTTAAAACAACATAATTAGGAGTTCAGCTGGGTTAGTGTGACATTCTCTCTCCCTCTCCCCCAACCCCCTTTCTCTCTTAGACCTTTAAGTATTTTAGTTTTCAGTAATGTTATTTTTCTTAACAGGTTAAAAGGGTAAAGAGGGAAACACAGATAAATAAGGGTGGAGGCTGAAAACAACTGTTTAGTGACTGCCCTCTGTTTTGTGTTTCCATTACTCAAGAAATTTAATCGAAATACGAGAATGAACAGTAATGCATATTTTTTGTTTATTTATTTGGTTTTGCTTTTTAAAAAGTGCAGTGTGATATACTTAACTGGTAGATCATTTTTGGCTTTTGTTGCAACTGTGGGCTGGAGGGTATATCAGGATGTCATCTGAGACCCAGCCGTCTGATGAAAAGAAATGGAATCGAGCAGGCTAGTATACTGGGTACAGGGTTCTTTTTGCTTGATGGGGAAGATAAAGGTCCACTCACCCTGCATTGCCTGAATTACATTCTTCTTCACTTTGTCTCTGCCATGGATAAGGTCTCATTATAACCTCTTGCTGAACTTGTACTTGTCCTAAGACTGGTAGTAGTTAAATCCTGAACTACCTTTTGGAAGTAGTTATCTTAGAATGTGATGGTGAAGGATGGTAATGGCAATCAATTTGTCAGACAGATTTCTTAGGGTACGTGAGGTTGGAGAAGTATAAGACCTATGGCCAGGAACTCATCACATCTGTGCTGCCCTTTCCCTGAAGAGTCAGTAGGGTATTGTAGCATAAAAGTTTAGGAAGTCTTGGCTGGACACAGTGGCTCACACCTGTAATCCCAGCACTTTGGGCCAAGGTGGACGAATCACTTGAGATCATGAATTCAAGACCACCCTGGCCAACATGGCAAAACCCCGTCTCTACTAAAAATACAAAAATTAGCTGGGCCTAATGGCACGTGCCTGTAGTCTCAGCTTCTCAGGAGGCTGAGGCAGGAGAATCGCTTGAACCCAGGAGGGGGAGGTTGCAGTGAGCCGAGATTGCCACACTGCAGCCTGGATGACAGAATAAGACTCCGTTTCAAAAAAAAAAAGGCCAGGTACAGTGGCCCACGCCTGTTATCCCAGCACTTTGGGAGGCCAAGGCGGGCGGATCACAAGGTCAAGAGATCGAGACCATCCTTGCCAATATGGTGAAACCCCGTCTCTGCTAAAAATGCAAAAATTAGCTGGGCATGGTGGCACACGCCTGTAGTCCCAGCTACTCGGGAGGCTGAGCCAGGAGAATCGTGAGGTTGTGGTGAGCTGAGATTGTGCCACTGCATTCCAGCCTGGCGACAGAGTGAGACTGCCTCGCCAAAAAAAAAAAAAAAAAAAAAGGAAGCCTTGGCTGGGCGTGGTGGCTGATGACTGTAATCCCAGCACTGGGAGGCCAAGGCAGTCAGGTCACATGAGGCCAGGAGTTTGAGACCAGCCTAGCCAACACAGTGAAACCCCGTCTCCACTAAAAATATTAAAAAAAAAATTAGCTGGGCATGGTGGTGCTCACCTGTAATCCCAGCTACTCAGGAGGCTGAGGCATGAGAATCACTTGAACTCAGGAAACAGGCTTCAGTGAGCCGAGATCATGCCACTGCACTCCAGCCTGGGTGACAGAGTGAGACTCCGTTTCAAAAAAAAATTAGGAAGCCTTGTTACCTGTTTGAGACTTGATTGATATCCTGTGGCTGCAGCTTAGGGAATGATCCCCTGTATATCTCTGCCCTGGAAATAAATTTTAATCACATTCTCTCCCAAGACTATATAGTTTCATCTTGTTATCTAAAACAGTATAGCCCGGGGTGGTGTGAGAGATGTCTTTTGGAGGAGGGTACTAAGGATGACTCCATGTGTGCTTCTGGTGGTGTCATGCTTGATACTGCCTGGTCTTTTGTGTTACCTTCCCAGAGCCTTCAACAGCCCTGCAGACATCTCAGATTTGTTGGGCCCCTGGACCTTTTAGAGGAATGCATGTTATCTCCATTGCTGCCCTGAATATGCAAGCTTAGCCTTTTCAGTGTATCTTTTTTTTTTTTTAATTTTTATTTTACTTTAAGTTCCGGGATACATGTGCAGAATGTGCAGGTTTGTTACATAGGTAAATGTGTGCCATGGTGGTTTGCTGCACCTATCAAGTCATCACCTAGGTTTTAAGCTCCACACGCATTAGCTATTTGTCCTGATGCTCTCCCTCCCCTCAACCCCCACCCCCACCAACAGGCCCGGGTGTGTGTTGTTCCCCTCCCTGTGGTCCATGTGTTCTCATTGTTCAACTCCCAGTTATGCGTGAGAGCATGCGGTGCTTGGTTTTCTGTTCCTGTGTTAGTCTGCTGAGGATGGTGGCTTCTAGCTTCATCCATGTCGCCACAAAGGACATGATCTCATTCCTTTTTATGGCTGCATAGTATTCCATGGTGTATGTGTACCACATTTTCTTTATCCAGTCTGTCATTGATAGGCATTTGGGTTGGTTCCATGTCTTTGCTGTTGTAAATAGTGCTGCAGTAAACATGTGTGCATGTGTCTTTATAGCAAAATGATTTATATTCCTTTGGGTATATACCCAGTAATGGGATTGCTGGGTCAAATGGTATTTCTGCTTCTAGATTCTTGAGGAATCACCACACTATCTTCCATGATGGTTGAACTAATTTATATTCCCACCAATCGTGTAAAAGCATTCCTATTTCTCCACAGCCTTGCCAGCATCTTTCGTTTCTTGACTTTATAATAATCGCCATTCTGACTGGTGTGAGATAGTATCTCATTGTGGTTTTGATTTGCATTTCTCTAATGATCAGTGATGTTGAGCTTTTTTTCATATGTTTTTTGGCCACATAAATGTCTTCTTTTGAGAAGTGTCTGTTCATATCCTTTGCCCACTTTTTGATGGTTTTTTTTTCCCGTTCTGTAGGTTGCATGTTCACTCTGATGATAGTTTATTTTGCTGTGCAGAAACTCTTGAGTTTAATTAGATCCCACTTGTCAATTTTAGCTTTTGATGCAGTTGCTTTTGGCATTTTCATCAAGAAATCTTTGCCCATGCCTGAATGGTATTGCCTAGGTTTTCTTCTAGGATTTTTATGGTTTTGGGTTTTACATGTAAGTCTTTAATCCATCTTGACTTATTTTTTGTATAAGGTGTAAGGAAGGGGTCCAGTTTCAGTTTTCTGCATATGGCTAA
Source organism: Homo sapiens (assembly GCF_000001405.40). Lineage (NCBI taxonomy): Eukaryota > Metazoa > Chordata > Mammalia > Primates > Hominidae > Homo > Homo sapiens. The sequence goes on from NC_000017.11 coordinate 2,661,386, forward strand.
CCAGTTTTTTGAGCACCATTTATTAATTAAGGAATCCTTTCCCCATTGCTTGTTTTTGTCAGGTTTGTTGAAGATCAGATGTTTGTAGATATGTGGTGTTATTTCTGAGGTCTCTGTTCTGTTCCCTTGGTCTGTGTGTCTGTTTTGGTACCAGTAGCATGCTGTTTTGGTTACTGTAGCCTTGTAGTATAGTTTGAAGTCAGGTAGTACGTGTGATGCCTCCAGCTTTGTTCTTTTTGCTTAGGATTGTCCTGGCTATTAGTGTATCTCTTTAAATGGGTCTAGTAAGAAAACATCTCAGTTCATCAGCCTTTGACTTAACCTTGTTTTTTCTTCATATGAGCAATGAAATTAAAATGGTTACGGAACTCTTAGAACTTTTTCATTCTTAGAATGCTAGAGTATACAGTTTGTAAAATACTATTATTGGCCAGGCGTGGTGGCTCATGTCTGTAATCCCAGCACTCTGGGAGGCTGACGTGATGAAACCCCATCTCTACAAAAAAATACAAAAAATTAGCTGGGCGTGGTGGTGGGTGCCTATAATCCCAGCTACTCAGGAGGCTGAGGCAGGAGAATTGCTTGAACCCAGGAGGCGGAGGTTGCAGTGAGCCGAGCTTGCGCCATTGCGCTCCAGCCTGGAGGAGACTCCATCTCAAAAAAAAAAAAAAAAAAAAAAATCTTATGGGTGGTATTGATGAGGTGTTATGACTAGTATTACAGCTGCAGAAATTACCCTAGGGGATAAAAACAAATGAAAAGAATGTAGGAAGTCAGCTAAAGTGCTTAAAATCGAATGCTGGCATTTTCATAAACTTGTAATAGTTTAGAAAATAATTTCATTCGTTATGTTTGTAATAGTTTGATATTTAAGCCTAGGCTGTGTCTAGCTTAGGATCTGTTTGCTCATGGATAAAAGTCCTTCATCTCAGTTTTGATTTTAACCATTTTCTTTTTTATTTTTCTTAACCATTTTTATTTTTTTAACCTCTTTGTGTGTGTGTGTGTGTGTGTGTGTGTGTGTGTGTGTGTGTGTGTGACGGAGTTTCACTCTGTCATCCAGGCTGGAGTGCAGTGACGCAATCTTGGCTCACCGAAACCTTTGCCTCCCAGATTCAAGCAATTCTCCTGCCTCAGCCTCCCAAGTAGCTGGGATTACAGGCTCCTGCCACCATACCCGGCTAATTTTTTGTATTTTTAGTAGAGATGGGGTTTCACCATGTTGGCCAGGCTGCTCTTGAACTCCTGTCCTCAAGTGATCTGCCCTCCTGGGCCTCCCAAAGTGCTGGAATTACATGCGTAGGCCACTGCGCCCAGCCTTCTCTGATTCTTTATAGTATTACTGGTTTTGGTCTACTCCATTTTACTTCTGTGTGAATTTCTCTTTAATTCTAGTGACTGGTTTCAAAGAGGTGAAGATTCCATCCTTAATAAAGCTGATGAGGCCAGGTACAGTGGCTAACGCCTGTAATCCCAACACTTTGGGAGGCCAAGGTGGGCGGATCACCTGAGGTCAGGAGTTTGAGAAGACCAGCCTGACCAACATGGAGAAACCCCGTCTCTACTAAAAATACAAAATTAGCTGGGCATCGTGGCACCTGCCTGTAATCCCAGCTACTCTGGAGGCTGATGCAGGAGAATCGCTTGAACCTGGGAGACAGAGGTTGTGGTGAGCCAAGATCACGCCATTGCACCCCAGCCTGGGCAATAAGAGTGAAACTCTGTCTCTAAATAAAGAAAGAAAGAGCCAAGCGTGGTGGCGGGCACCTGTAGTCCCAGCTACTGGGGAGGCTGAGGCAGGAGAATGGTGTGAACCCAGGAGGCAGAGCTTGTCGTGAGTGGAGATCGCACCACTGCACTCCAGCCTGGGCAACAGAGCAAAAAATAAAATAAAATAAAGCTGATGAAAATCAACTCTAGGTCAACAACTGAGATTAGTAGCAAGCCCCAGAAGCACCCTTTAGGCTGTTAGAACCAAGAGTTTTGTGGGTTTTTGTTTTGTTTTGTTTGTTGTTTTTTTGAGAGAGGGTCTTGCTCTGATAGGCAGGCTGGAATGCAGGGGCTCACTCACAGCTTGCTGCAACCTCAACCTGCCAGGCTCAAGCCATTCTCCCGCCTCAGCCTCCCAAAGTGCTGGGATTACAGGTGTGAGCCACTGCCACCTGCTGAGGTTCTTCAGTCTTTACTTAACTTATTACTTTTAGTAACGGTAGTACACCTTGCTGAAGTTAAAGGTTCTACATTAACTGGATCAGATTGTTGGCTTAAATATTGAGAGGCAGGGCATCAAAGGTGGTAGTGCTAAAATTCTCTGGATTTTTTTTTTTTTTGAGACAGAGTTTCACTCTGTTTCCCAGGCTGGAGTGCAGTGGTGCAGTCTCAGCTCACTGCAACCTTTGCCTCCCGGGTTCAAGCAATTCTGCGTCAGTCTTCCAAGTAGCTGGGACTACAGGCGCATACCACCACACCTGGCTAATTTTTGTATTTTTAGTAGAGATGGAGTTTCACCATGTTGGCCAGGCTGGTCTCGAGCTCCCGACCTCGTGATGCGCCCACCTCGGGCTCCCAAAGTGCTGAGATTACAGGCGTGAGCCACCGCTCCCAGCCTCTGGTCTTGAACTTCTGACCTTGTGATTTGCCCGCCTCGGCCTCCCAAAGTGCTGGGATTACAGACGTGAGCCACTGCGCTGGCCTAACCCTGTAATTATTATACGTTGATTTTTGGCATGCTCATAATTACCTGGAACATAAAGTTTTTGCTGGTAATTCCCTGTTATCTTTCTTTGCTGATTTGTTTTAAACATACCATTGAATTAAAGCCAGTAATCCCACCAGTTATACAATACTACTGGAGTGTGTTTTGTTTTGTATTTTGAGACGTAGTTTCGCTGTTGTTGCCTAGGCTGGAGTGCAGTGGCACGAACTGGGCTCACCACAGCCTCCACCTCCCAGGTTCAAGTGATTCTCCTGCCTCAGCTTCCCAAGTAGGTGGGATTACAGGCATGTGCCACCACACCTGGCCTTTTTTTTTTTTTTTTGAGAAGGAATCTTGCTCTGTTGCCCAGGCTAGAGTGCAGTGATGCGGTCTTGGCTCACTGCAATCTCCGCCTCCCGGGTTCAAGCAATTCTTCTGCCTTGGCCTCCCGAGTAGCTGGGATTACAGGGGCTTGCCACCACGCCAGCTAATTTTTGTATTTTTAGTGGAGACGGGGTTTCACCATGTTGGCCAGGCTGGTCTCCAACTCCTGACTTTGTGATATATATCTATATCTATCTATCGCTCTCTCTCTCTCTCTCTCTCTCTCTCTTTCTCTCTCCATCTATAAAGCCCAAAACATTTTTGGTCCCGAGCATTTTGTATAAAGGGTACTCAAACTGTAGAAGGCAAACATGAAAAGGCTAATTCAGCTTCTCTAACCTTCAAGTTCTAATTCTAAATGAATGTCTCATTCTACGACAGTACACTAAGTTTATACTGTATGATTGCTTTTTTTCACCCACTCCAATGGTTCAAAGTTATTTCTAATATGAAAATACTTTAGTTTTCTCAAAACTTTTCTCTGCAAAACTAAATTCCAGCTGTCAGCCCTTGAGTGTATAACAAGTGGTAAAGAAAGACTAAATGTAAATGTTAGCAAAATTGATGGTTGCTGTCACAGAGCCATAGCTTGATCTATAGAGTGCCTACAGCTTGTGAGGTAAGCAACACATTTGAAACTTATAAATATGAAGTTTCTCTTCTGATGTTAAAAAAAAGAAAGAAAAACTTATAACTAAGAATATAATATTATGGATGTAGTATGACAGGGGCTAAAAGTTCTGGAGGCTTTGCGGGGGTGTCCTTTTTAATGAAATACTTGTATGATTTGAAAGGGAATACTCTTGAAAAGAGTATCTTCAGGGTTAATGAGATTTTAAATAAATTCTATTTCTTCAGAATAGAAATGAGGTCTTTTTTTTAGGAGTCATTTGAATTTTTCTTTCAGAAATCGAGCTATAGCAGATTATCTTCGTTCAAATGGCTATGAAGAGGCATATTCAGTTTTTAAAAAGGAAGCTGAATTAGATGTGGTATGTTTTACTTTTTACAATTCAAAGTATAGTTAATGAGTGGATTTTCACTCAAGTATCTGTAGTTAACAGTTACGCACAATTTTGTCATTTGTTATTGTGGTCTACTTGGTACTGAACTTGATTTTCACTCCTTTTTTTTTTATTTTTTATTTTAATTTTTGAGATGGAGTCTCACTTTGTCTCCCAGGCTGGAGTGCAGTGGCGTGATCTCGGCTCACTGCAACCTCTGCCTCCCAGATTCAAGCGATTCTCCTACTTCAGCCTTCCGAGTAGCTGGGATTACAGGCACGCACCACCACACCCAGCTAATTTTTGTATTTTTAGTAGAGACGGGGTCTCGCCATGTTGGCCAGGCTGGTCTCAAACTCCAGACCTCAGGTGATCCACCCGCCTTAGCTTCCCAAAGTGCTGGGATTACAGGTGAGCCACCATGCCCAGCCACTCCCTTTTTTTATAATCAGATTTTTAGTAATATTTGGACTTAAAGATGAATGATCTTTGTCTTGAGGATCATAGTTAAGCCATTTTTTAAAAATTCTAAATTTATTTTCTCTAGAATGAAGAATTAGATAAAAAGTATGCTGGTCTTTTGGAAAAAAAATGGACATCTGTTATTAGATTACAAAAGAAGGTAACTAAGTCTTTTTTCTTTAAAATTAGTTGTATTCAGTTATATAAACTTTCTGAAAATAACATTCTTCTGCATTAATTAATAATTGCATCTAATCTTTAAAAAGCAAATAAAAATACATTTTTTGTGCTTCATGAAAAGTATGACCTAGGCATATTATTGCAGATACATGGTAATTCACATATCTGGAGTTGCTGACTGGGTTCAATCTGCATAGTCCTGACTTTGAGGAATTGATACTGAAAGAACTCATTTGTGCACTTAGAAGGAAAGAATACATGGAGCCATTGTGATTAATGCTGGGAAAAGAACACTAAAATGTGCTCGTAGACAAGTTGTTTTTATCTCTGAGCTTTTATTTTTATCTGTAAATACAACAAATAATATTCCAGTCCTAAAATGGATACTTCATAGGCAAAGTTAGAATAAGTAAATAACATTGTTATGAGTTCATCATATAAAGCTCTTAGAAAAATGCTTAGCACATAGTAGATGCTCAATAAATATTAGCTTTTATTAATATTATTATTACCATATATAATGTGGTTTGGAAAGAACTTACTAAGAGTAGCAGCCTTAGAGGGACCAAGACAAATTCACTGCCCTTCTCTAATTAGTAGAGGACTCTGTCACCAGATACAAATCGAAATTTTTCTTTTTGTTAAAGAGTTAAGGCAATTGTACTGAATTTTTCTCAATTTTTAGTTTCCTCACATGACTTAGATTTTGATGCTGTACAAAATAAATAATTTTCATTTAAATTTGACAAATGCTTTGGAGATTACTGAAATTTTTTCAAGTATCCTACATACATAGTTGCAAAATAAAGGCAGTTTTTTAAAATGTCACATGCTATTTTTATTGAAATCTATCTGTACGTAACTACATGTTCTTTTTCAAGGTTATGGAATTAGAATCAAAGCTAAATGAAGCAAAAGAAGAATTTACGTCAGGTGGACCTCTTGGTCAGAAACGAGACCCAAAAGAATGGATTCCCCGTCCGCCAGAAAAATATGCATTGAGTGGTCACAGGAGTCCAGTCACTCGAGTCATTTTCCATCCTGTGTTCAGTGTTATGGTCTCTGCTTCAGAGGATGCTACAATTAAGGTAATTTTTTGTTAAAAGCAGACTTAACGGGAGGCTGAAGCAGGAGAATGGCATGAACCCGGGAGGCGGAGTTTGCAGTGAGCCGAGATTGCACCACTGCACTCCAGCCTGGGCGACAGAGCCACACTCTGTCTCAAAAAAAAAAAGCAGACTTAATAGGGTGAAGAAAATTAAAAGATCCTGAAAATGAGGGCCTATGAAGAGGGACAGGAGGTACTCTGAAACGTGTGATTTGGTTCTAAATCTTAAAAGACAGAATTGGAATAAAATATCATTGTGGCTCCTGAGAGGCATGCTGCCAGGTAAGTTTGATGGTGAATTTGAGAAAGTCGGGTGTCACTAACTGAGTTGATGTCAGTACATCACCTTGTGCTTGAACAATTTTTGTTCTTGGAGAATGAAAAGTGTGTGTCTTACCTTTAAACGGAGGTTATGTGTGAAATACTGATTGACAAAACTAGTAATTGATAGGGTGAATCTATACTGCAAAAGAATTCAGTAGAGGATTCATTTAAATTGGGCTTTCCTTGATGTATTTAAAATTGGCTTTCCAGGAGTGTGGGAATATACAAGCTTTTCATTTTATAAATTACGTATTTCATTAAAAAATTTTTTTCACAGTAAAAATATTATTACCTTTTAATGTTGTGCTTTTTTAATTAGGAAAAGAGTTGTTTTTAAGTTGCCTTTGTTCCGGACACAATAAAATGACCGTTGTATAAACCACCTACAGAAAGATAAGATAGTTGCAATATAGGTAGATTTAGGTAGATGCCTCTATCCTAAGGGTTATTTCAAAGTAAGTTACAGATATTAAGTTTCATTTACAAAAGTATAACCAATCGGCCGGGCACGGTGGCTCACGCCTGTAATCCCAGCACTTTGGGAGGCCGAGGCGGGTGGATTGCCTGAGCTCAGGAGTTCAAGACCAGCCTGAGCAACACGGAGAAACCCCATCTCTACTAAAATACAAAAAAATTAGCTGGGCATGGCAGCGTGCGCCTGTAGTCCCAGCTACTTGGAAGGCTGAGGCAGGAAATTCGCTTGAACCCAGGAGACAGGTTGCAGTTAGCCAAGATCGCTCCACTGCACTCCAGCCTGGGCGACAGAGCGAGACTGTCTCAAAAAGGTAGTTACAACTAACCAAATAGTAACGACGGTTTGGCCTTACTACTAACAGCAGAAGAAATAAACACTGAAATTATGGGCCGGGTGTGGTAGCTCATGCCTATAGTCCTAGGACTTTGGGAGGCCAAGGTGGGAGGACTGCTTGAGCTCAGGAGTTAGAGAGCAGCCTGGGCAACATAGCAAGACCTCGTCTCTACTTAAAATTAGCCAGGTATGGTGGTGCATGCCTGTAGTCCTAGCTACTCAGGAGGCTGAGATGGGAGGATCACATGAGCCTGGGAGTTGGAGGCTGCAGTGAGCTATGATTGAGCCAGTGTACTCCAGCCTGGGCGAAGAGTGAGACCCTGTCTTAAAAACAAAAAAATTGGACTGGGCACGGTAGCTCATGCCTGTAATCCCAGCACTTTGGGAGGCCAAGGTGGGTGGATCATGAGGTCAGGAGATCGAGACCATCCTGGCTAACATGGTGAAACCCCGTCTCTACTAAAAAATACAAAAAATTAGCCGGGAGTGATGGCGGGCTCCTGTAGTCCCAGCTACTCGGGAGGCTGAGTCAGGAGAATGGCGTGAACCCGGGAGGCGGAGCTTGCAGTGAGCCAAGATCGCGCCACTGCACTCCAGCCTGGGCGACAAGAGTGAGACACACATACATATATATGTGTGTCAAATTGTCAAGGTATTTTACCTATTAAATAAGAATTCCCAGTGATGATAAGATTTTGATAAAGTAGTCATTCTCATTACATATGATACAGTCTTACGGGATATCAATTTAATAGAGTATATGAAGGCTTTAAAAGTTTATACTTTTTGACCCACTAATTGTTTCTCCCCATTACTGTCTGACCTAGGTATTATAAAATGAGGACAGAATTTTTTTATATTAAAAAATGTTCACTATAATGTTTTCTATAATAGTGATTTAGCCAGCAATTAGAATTTTTTTTTTTTTTTTGAGATGGAGTTTCACTCTTGTTACCCAGGCTGGAGTGCAGTGGTATGATCTTGGCTCACTGCAGCCTCCGCCTCCCAGGTTCAAGCAATTCTGCCTCAGCCTCCCGAGTAGCCGGGAGTACAGGCGCCCACCACTGTGCCTGGCTAATTTTTTGTGTTTTTTAGTAGAGACGGGGTTTCACCATATTAGCCAGGATAGTCTCGAACTGACCTCGTGGTCCGCCCGCCTTGGCCTTCCTAAGTGCTGGGATTACAGGCGTGAGCCACTGCGCCCGGCCATATTTCATTTTTTAACTCAAAATGACATATGCTCTTGTTCATTTGCTATTCGTGAACAGTTAACATCTTCTGAAATCTTTCCTTGGCCCTTTAGATGTCTGAGTTCTGATGGTCTAGTAGGATCGAGTATTCATCCATTGTTCCTCAAATATTCTACATACAAATGCCTGCTATAGCCCTCTGAAGCTCCTTCCCTTCCCCTTCCCTTTCCCCTTTCTTTCCCTTTCCTTTCCATCTCTTTCTCTTTCTTTCCTCTTATTTCTTCCCCTTAAGTTTCCTTATTTACATGTCATTCCTGCTCTGAGACAGGGAGCGGACTATGTCTTGTGACTTTATATACCTTATCACTATTACAGTTGGTTATGTGATAGAAACCTTATAAATGTGGTTCTAGAGATAGATTTTAATAATTGCAACATTAGTTTTCCCTGTAGAAAAAAAGACCAATTTATACATGAGATACAATATTTCTAAAATAGTTATCCTTTGTTACTTGTTCGGTTAGTTACTCAGTAAGGTGCCAGACTGGCCTGCTGAGTGCAAATGTGAAACAAGAAAGGAGTGATGGAGTTGGTGTTAACCAATTTTCTGTTCACTTGACAGGTGTGGGATTATGAGACTGGAGATTTTGAACGAACTCTTAAAGGACATACAGACTCTGTACAGGACATTTCATTCGACCACAGCGGCAAGCTTCTGGCTTCCTGTTCTGCAGATATGACCATTAAACTATGGGATTTTCAGGGCTTTGAATGCATCAGAACCATGCACGGTAAGGGGTAGAGGATAGTGCTTTAACAGTAATTTCTATCATGGTACTTCAGAAGGAATATTGTTTCTAACAGTGTACAGTGTTCCTTTATTCACCTCTTAATTGTCAGTATTGGTGGAAGAGCATACCATGTAGATAGTCCAGGGATAAGCCACAGTAGTTGAGAGTGCTTTCTATTAGGAAGTTTTAAGTATCTTTTAGTACTTTACATAAAATATTTGTATGAGTATTTCTTGGTAAGAAAAACTGCCAGGTCATTTATCTGTATTTGAGTTAAAAATGGTTTTGTTTGTGTTTTAATTTTTGTTAGTTGGGAAACTGAAGTCCAGAGAGAGTAGGTCGAGTGAAAACGAGCCCAGATTCTCTTGCTCACTTAAGTGAAATGAGCTGAGCGCACAGACCCCATGCCCTCGTTCATTATTTCCCGGGTCTTGTTGTGGGAACTGTTTTCTGAGGCAGTATGTTTTGTGGAAAGAGAGTAATTTGCTTTGGAGTCAGACACCTGGGTTCAAATTCCTACTTGTCTACTTACGGTATTAGAAAATTTAAACCTCTTTCATCTGCAAAACAGAGGTAATAATACCAGAGTCATAGAGTTGTCATGAGGATAAGATGAAGTCATAAGATAAATCATCTTGGTGTAGTACCTGCCACATAGGAGATGCTCATTACTTAGGGATTTTTGTTGTTTCTTTATACATGATGACATTTGAATGTTGGGATTTTGTACAAGGAACACGTTAACACATGAGTAAACTGTGTTTACCTAGAGGGCATAATTTGAAGGTTGTGTTTTCTCTGTCCCAAATTAAATGCATTGGGGAAGTTTATAATTACAGGAATTCCACGCATGAACACTGTTTTTTTGTTGTTGTTTTTTGGTTGTTTTTTTTTTGAGACTGTGTCTCACTCTGTCGCCCAGGCTGGAGTGCAGTGGCACAATCTTGGCTCACTGCAACCTCCGCCTCCCAGGTTTAAGTGATTCTCCTGCCTCAGCCTCCTGAGTATCTAGGATTATAGGCACGCGCCACCACGCCCGTCTAATTTTTGTATTTTTAGTAGAGACGGGGTTTCACCATGTTGGTCAAGCTGGTCTCGAACTCCTGACCTCCTGATCTGCCTCAGCCTCCCAAAGTGCTGGAATTATAGGCGTGAGCCACGTAAGGTCTATCATTTATTTTTCTTTAAGTTGCCTGTATCTTCTAGCTGTAACTTTAAAAAGAGTTCTTTCTAATGCATTTTTTTTTTTTACCCCCAACACCACCTTTTTTTTTTTTTTTTTTTTTCTGGAGATGGCCTCTTGCTTTGTCACCCAAGCTGGAGTACAGTGGCACAATCTTTGCTCACTGCAACCTCCACCTCCCAGGTTCAAATGATTCTCCCACCTCAGCCTCCAAAGTAGCTGGCAATACAGGCAAGCACCACCACACCCGGCTAACTTTTTTATTTTTAGTAGAAACAGGGTTTAACCATATTGGCCAGGCTGGTCTTGAACTCCTGACCTCAGGTGATCCGCCCGCCTCGGCCTCCCAAAGTGCTGGGATTACAGGCATGAACCACTGCGCCTGGCCCACCATTTTAAACAGAGAACCAATTCCCCATTTTTTGTATCCATTTGCTTTATCTTTTTTATATCTTAGAATATCAACCTAGAAGCTAGGCACAGTGGCTCACACCTATAATCTCAGCACTTTTGGAGGCCAAGGCAGGAAGGATTGCTTGAGGACAGGAGTTCGAGACCAGTGTGAGCAAAATATGGAGACCTTGTCTCTACAAAAAATAAAATAGTTGTGGGTGTGGTGGTACCAGATGTGGTGGTACACACCTGTGTAGTTCCAGCTACCCGACAGGCTGAGGCGGGAAGAGCTCTTGAGCCCAGGAGTTCAAGGCTACAGTGAGCTATGATTGCACCACTGCACTTTAGCCTGGGTAACAGAGCAAGTCCTTGCCTCACAAAAAAAAAAAAAAAAAAAAAAAAAAATGTTTCCCTAGCGTTCATATGTAAACATTCAGACTCACTGAGGTAAGTATATGAATATATTCAAATGTTGATAATCGTGATGCCTTTTGTTTTTAAACCATTTGTACAGGTTGAAATTTAATCCTAAATGGAGTTGACTATTTCCTTGTGGGTTGTTGTTTTACTGATTTTTTTAACTTTATCGTGTAAATCCAGGTTTCTTATCCAATTTGTATAAAATCCAGTGTATTTAGAACTTGCTTTGACATAGTGAAACCCCATGGTAAAATCCCATGGTCAATTGATGTTTCATTGCTCTTGGTGGTATATTACTTCATAATATATTGCTGTTATGTGTTTTAGGCCATGACCACAATGTTTCTTCAGTAGCCATCATGCCCAATGGAGATCATATAGTGTCTGCCTCAAGGGATAAAACTATAAAAATGTGGGAAGTGCAAACTGGGTAAGTAAGTTTAGTTGAAAAGGCATCAGCGGCCAGGTGCAGTGGCTCACACCTGTCATCCCAGCGCTTTGGGAGGCCAAGGTGGGCAGATCACCTGGTCAGGAATTGAAGACCAGCCTGGCCAACATGATGAAACCCCATCTCTACTAAAAATACAAAAATTAGCCGGGTGTGGTGGCGCACACCTGTATTCCCAGCTACTTGGGAGGCTGAGACAGGAGAATCACTTGAACCTGGGAGGTGGAGGTTGCAGTGAGCCGAGATCGTGCCATTGCACTCTAGCCTGGGCAACAAGAGTGAGACTCCGTCTCAAAAAAAAAGAAAAGGCATCAGCTTAAAGACATATTTATAAAAAACAAAATTGTGTTCTGGTGTTGCAGTCACTTCGACTTTAACCCGGAATGATCATTATGACAGTCATATTAAATATACTTTAAAACTAAGTTTGATCTGTACATGTCTCCCAAAAAGGAGCACAGAGACATTGTAAGGAGAGACTCTATGTCCTTGAGAAGCATTTCTGTGTAATGGCTTATTTCCTCTGTGGTCTTCTTTTAGGTGATCTCTCTGTGGGTTTAAATTAAAGTGTAAATAATCTTTGGCCGGGCGCGGTGGCTCACGCCTGTAATCCCAGCACTTTGGGAGGCAGAGGCGGGCGGATCATGAGGTCAGGAGATCGAGACCGTCCTGGCTAACACGATGAAACCCCGTCTCTACTAAAAATACAAAAAATTAGCCGGGCGTGGTGGCGGGCGCCTGTAGTCCCAGCTACTCGGGAGGCTGAGGCAGGAGAATGGCGTGAACCTGGGAGGTGGAGCCTGCAGTGAGCCGAGATCGCGCCACTGCACTCCAGCCTGGGCGACAGAGCGAGACTCCGTCTCAAAAAAAAAAAACAAAAAGTAAATAATCTTTGTGCTGGTATACCTCTGTTAGGCTGAATTTGGTTGTGCATAGAATTACACTTGATTTTTGTAGTACAAAGTTACTAGTTTTACTCAGATTAGTAGAGCATAGCTTTTTTCCAATATGGCTGGAAATACTTTTAAGTGTGCATTTAGTTTTGAAAGATTTTATTTCTTATACATATTTTATCTTCTAGATGTTGATTTTATTAGCTCCTTAATGATATGTCTGTTAGCTTATTGTTCCTACTTTAATTAACCAGGATTGTACATTTATTCTGTCGACTTGCATCTCTAACTTGGTACCATTCTCTTCATCCCAGTACATATTTTTATATCACTTCTGGGAAGTGTCCTGATGATTGTCATTCACAGTGTAAGTTATTATTTATATTGACAGCTACTGTGTGAAGACATTCACAGGACACAGAGAATGGGTACGTATGGTACGGCCAAATCAAGATGGCACTCTGATAGCCAGCTGTTCCAATGACCAGACTGTGCGTGTATGGGTCGTAGCAACAAAGGAATGCAAGGCTGAGCTCCGAGAGCATGAGCATGTGGTAGAATGCATTTCCTGGGCTCCAGAAAGCTCATATTCCTCCATCTCTGAAGCAACAGGATCTGAGGTACTGTATATACAAATGTCTTCATGGTTTTATTGCTGATATCTGAAGTCCTTAGATAACTTTGCTAATTCCCTGTTTCAGGGCTGTTAATGCATTTAAAAATCTGCATCCAGCAATTCTGAATCTTGAAATTCTCTACTCTTCACAGCTTGCTGATGTGTTTACATTATTTAACCAGTGATGATTATTGCTGTCAGCCTATCCTTGATTTGATACGTGATGGGTATTCTCCTAAAGAATTAAAATTTATCAGAAAAATCAGTGTTATGAGATCATCTCAATGTAAAACAAAACCTGAGGGAGAGGTTAAAGTTTTCTGTCAGAAAAATAGCCTTCATTAATGAAGATAATGATTTTATTTATAAATTTATGGTAAAATGCAGTTCAGTATTTATTTTTTAAAATTAATTCCAGATGTGATAGTATAAATGTTTTTTTAAATGAAGACTAATCCATATGGCAGCCTCTGATGTTCTTGATCATTTAAAAGTACTAGCTGAGCCTGGAGTTTTAACGCATTTCTTTGTGATCTTTATGGTTTTGGTCTTTATTATTAATATGTTAAAAATTACAAGGTACAGCGGCACATGGCTATAGTCCTAGCTACTCAGGAGGCTGAGGCAAGAGGATCACTTGTGTCCAGAAGTTAAAGTTCAGCCTGGGACAACATAGCAAGATCCCTGTTTCTAATAAATGAATGAAAATGAATGGTCTAAAACTTTTGTTTGTTTTTGAGACAGTCTCACTCTGTTGCCCAGGCTGGAGTACAGTAGCGTGATCTCGGCTCACTGCAACCTCCGCCTCCCAGGTTCAGGCGATTCTCCTGCCTCAGCCTCCTGAGTAGCTGGGACCACGGATGCATGTACCACCCTGCCAGCTAATTTTTATATTTTTAGTAGAAACAAGGTTTTGCCATGTTGGCCAGGCTGCTCTCAAACTCATGGCCTCAAGTGATCCGACCACCTCAGCTTCCCAAAGTTCTGGGATTACAGGTGTGAGCCACTGTGCCTGGCTTCACATTGATTTTGACAGAGGCATTCCTATCATGTATTTTTAAAACTACATGTCAATAAACAAAGGAGGCAGTTTCCTCTCCCTCTACCCCCATCCCACTTATTTTTCTAAATGAATCTTCTCTTGTGAGTTCTCTTTATTTTGATTGGCCCATTGCATTTTGAGATTCTGTTTACTGCCCTCTGGTGGTGGTTACATGCTGTATGTCATAAATTTGATTCTGGTGTGGTGGCTCACGCCTGTAATCCCAGCACTTTGGGAAGTCAAGGCAGGAGGATCACTTGAGCCCAGGAGTTTGAGCAACATAGCGAGACCCCGTCTCTACAGAAAACTTTTTTTTTTTTTTTAAACTCACCACTATACTAATGACGGAAAAAATTTTCAAAAACTTAGCTAGGTGTGGTGGTACACTCCTGTAGTCCCAGCCACTAGGGAGACTGAGACAGGAAGATTGCTTGATCCCAGGAGTTCAAAGCTGCAGTGAGCTATGATTGTTCCACTGCACTCCAGCCTGGGTGACAGAATGAGACCCTGTCTTGAAATAAATAAATATTCCCTAATCCAGATCAAAAAAATAAATAAGTAAATTTGGTTTTGGTTGGATTTGTAAAAGTTAAATTAAATAGTGATTACAGAAATCTTGAAAAGTAAATTTATTATCTGTTGGTTTTATGAAAACTGAGTCCTAACCTAAATAGAGACTTCTGTTCTTACATTATCTGAGTCCTTCCTGTGTAGCATAGGTATGGTGTGAAAGACTTGTGTATTTCAACAGATAAAAACAAATTGGGCTGGGCGCAGTGGCTCACGCCTGTAATTCCAGCACTTTGGGAGGCCGAGGTGGGCCGATCGATCATCTGAGGTTAGGAGTTCAAGACCAGCCTGCCCAACATGGCAAAACCCCATCTCTACTAAAAATACAAAAATTAGCCACATGTGGTGGTGCGTGCCTGTAATCACATCTACTTGGGAGGCTGAGGCAGGAGATTCGCTTGAACCCGGGAGGCGGAGGTTGCAGTGACCCAAGATTGCACCACGGTACTCCAGCCTGGGTGACAGAGCCAGACTCCGTCTGAAAACAAACAAAAAACCAAAATGCAACAAAAAAATTGGAAATATATATCATTATTAGATAGAAGCCATTTAAAGTCCATACCTAACTTCTTGTGTGGGAAACTTAATTTTTATTATGTTTTCTGTAGACTAAAAAAAGTGGTAAACCTGGGCCATTCTTGCTGTCTGGATCCAGAGACAAGACTATTAAGATGTGGGATGTCAGTACTGGCATGTGCCTTATGACCCTCGTAAGTTTGCATAATCTTACCATTTCTTTTGCATCTTCACTGTTTATACCTTTTTGGATTAATGCTTTATGATATCTTAAATAATCTGAATTATTCTGGGCTTTAAAATAACTTCTTTATAAAGATAGTTTTCCTTTAGCTTTTGTTGTTGTTATAGTGATGTGAAAGTTATTTCTCTAGAATGCAGATTCTATAAAGAATCTGTAGAGCCAGTCGGTGTTTGAGGGGGAGATGCTGCTAGCTCACTGTATCTTTAAAAATTGTGTAATATCTCGGCCGGGCGCGGTGGCTTACGCCTGTAATCCCAGCACTTTGGGAGGCCGAGGCGGGTGGATCACGAGGTCAGGAGATCGAGCTAACTTGGGGAAATCCCGTCTCTACCAAAAAATACAAAAAATTAGCTGGGCGTGGTGGCGGGCGCCTGTAGTCCCAGCTACTCGGGAGGCTGAGGCAGGAGAATGGCGTGAACCCGGGAGGTGGAGCTTGCAGTGAGCCGAGATTGTGCCACTGCACTCCAGCCTGGGCGACAGAGTGAGACTCCATCTCAAAAAAAATAAAATAAAACAAATGTGTAATATCTCTTACGGAGAAAAAGCAGCATTCTTAGAGACCTGTTCACTGTTGAAGATGTTTGTTTCTCTGTTTCACTTTATTTATATGAATCCTTTTAACTGTTATACCTCCTTGCTCACATGATCTAGTTTATTTGGCTTATTTAGGAGCATCTGTATTTCCATAGAAAGATATGTCAATACTAGTAAGGGATTGTGGACATTCCTATGTGCCTAAAGGAGTTCCAAGGAGATCTGTGGATGTTTGTTTAGTAGTAGTTTTTATAATTTGGCATCCACATTTGTTTAGAGATTTTTTAGGTGCTAATGATACCTTGAAGTGATTGTCTCTCTGTAGGATATGACAGACATATGTGGAAGCATCTTCAAGAACTGATTAGAAAATGAAACTCTCGGCCGGGCACGGTGGCTCACGCCTGTAATCCCCGCACTTTGGGAGGCCGAGGCGAGCAGATCACGAGGTCAGGAGATTGAGACCATCCTGGCTAACATGGTGAAACCCCGTCTCTACTAAAAATACAAAAAATTAGCCGGGCATCCTGGCGGGTGCCTGTAGTCCCAGCTACTTGGGAGGCTGAGGCAGGAGAATGGCGTGAACCCGGGAGGCGGAGCTTGCAGTGACCGGAGATGGCACCACTGTACTCCAGCCTGGGCGACAGAGCGAGACTCCGCCTCAAAAAATAAATAAATAAATAAATAAAAAGAAAATGAAACTCTCCTCTAGTAGTATTCTGAGCGGAGTTCAGCTATACCATGTTGCTGTTAAGAAAAGATGATATATAATTAAAATAAAGCAGGCCAGGCGCAGTGGCTCACTCCTGCAATCCCAGCACTTTTGGAGGCTGAGGCAGGTGGATCACCTGAGGTCAGGAGTTCAGGACCAGCCTGGCCAACATGGTGAAACCCCGTCTCTACTAAAATTACAAAAATTAGCCGGGCGTGGCCAGGCGCGGTGGCTCACGCCTGTAATCCCAGCACTTTGGGAGGCCGAGATGGGTGGATCACCTGAGGTTGGGAGTTCGAGACCAGCCTGACCAACATGGAGGAACCCCATCGCTGCTAAAAACACAAAATTAGCCAGGCATGGTGGCACATGCCTGTAATCCCAGCTACTTGGGAAGGCTGAGGCAGGCAAATCACTTTAACCTGGGAGGCGGAGGTTGCAGTGAGCCAAGATCACGCCATTGTACTCCAGCCTGGGCAACAAGAGTGAAACCATCTCAAAAAAAAAAAAAAAAAAACCCGGGCATGGTGGCGCACGTCTGTAATCCCAGCTACTCGGGAGGCTGAGGCTTGAGAATCGTTTGCACCTGGGAGACGGAGGTTGCAGTGAGCCGAGATCGCACCATTGCCCTCCATCCTGGGCAGTGAAGTAAGACTCTGTCTCCAGGAAAAAAAAAGAAAAGAAACAAGAAAAACATACTCTTGGCCAGGCACAGTGGCTCACACCTGTAATCCCAGGACTTTGGGAGGCCAAGGCAGGAGGAGCCCAGGAGTTTGAGACCAGCCTGAGCAACATAACAAGACCCTGTCTCTACCAAAATAAAAGTTTAAAAATTAGTCATGCATGATGATGCATGCCTATAGTCCTAGCTACTTGGGAGGCTAAGGCAGGAGGATTACTTGAACCCAGGAATTTGAGGCTTTAGTGAGCCGTGATCATGCCACTATACTCCAGCCTGGGCAACAGAGTTGCTGTCTCTTTTTAAAACAAAACAAAATTTTGCAGTGCTGTGCTATAACTGCACTATCCAGCGTGGTAGCTACTAGCCACATGCAGCTATTATACTCTTGAAATGTGGCTAGTGAGACTGAAGAACTGAATTGTTGGTTGTATGTAATCTTAATATTATATATTAAAGTAGGCGTACATGGACAGTAGCTACCATGTTCAACTGTGCAGTTCTAAGCCTTTTTCTTTAATGTGTAGATGAATGTGCTATTTTTTATAAAAATGGTATCATGCCCCTTAAGGTAGCTTTGTAGCAAACCTTTAATTTAGAAAGTATGTGATCCTTGCTTATGTTGTTAGATGCTCTTCTACACTGATCTACAGACAATGCTTTGTGAACATCTTTGCTAACTAAATCTCTGGGCATGTCCTTAAAGATAAATTGCAAGAACAGAACTGCTGCGACAGGGGAAATATGGATGGATAGATGGATGGATGATTAAATGGATGGATGATTAGATGGATGAATGATTGGATGGATGGATGGATGGATGATTGGATGGATGGATAGATGGATGATTGGATGGTTGGATGGATAGATGGATGATTGGATGGATGGATGGATGATTGGATGGATGGATGGATGGATGATTGGATGGATGGATGGATGGATGATTGGATGGATGGATGGATGGATGGATGATTAGATGGATGATTAGATGGATGATTGGATGGATAGATAGATGGGTGGGTGGGTGGATGGATGGATGATTGGATGATTGGATGGATGGATGGATGGATGGATGGATGGATGGATGGATATATAGATATATAGTGAATGCCTGTATATCCTTCACTTAGTTACCATTTGTTGGTTTTCCTTCATGTATGTGTGTATATTTTGCTGAAATCATTTGAGCGTTCTTTGCAGACATCGTAACACTTTACCCCCAAGTATTTTAGCATGAACCACCTAAGAACAAGGATAGTATATAAATAACCAAAATAAAATTATTCACACTCAAGAAATTTACCATTGATAGACTACATATTGAGATTTGTTCTTGTTATTTCCATAATGCCCTGCGGGACTTCTTTTTAACCCTCATCCAGGACCCAGTCAGGGATCGTACGTTATATTCACTCCTCATGTCTTATGAGTTTTCAGTTTCCTTTAATCTAGAATCCCCTAGACTTTTATTTTCTTCTGGTCTTTTGATGTTTTTGGTATGTATAGTTTTATCGTATTATGAAATAGATGCTATTTAAACATTTTGCCTTTTACTGAGTCAAATAACTTTTTTGTTTTTAAGGTGGGTCATGATAACTGGGTACGTGGAGTTCTGTTCCATTCTGGGGGGAAGTTTATTTTGAGTTGTGCTGATGACAAGACCCTACGCGTATGGGATTACAAGAACAAGCGATGCATGAAGACCCTCAATGCGCATGAACACTTTGTTACCTCCTTGGGTATGTACGCCTCGCGAGGTCTCTGAACATTAGATTTTGGAGTGCCAGACAAACTGTGTTTTACATAATCGTGTGGACTTTGCCAGGTAAGAAATGACTGTGCTTTCAGGGCAGAATAGAGAAGACATGAAAATCTTGTGGATTCCTACCATTTGTTTTAAATTCTCCTTTCCCGTTAACTCTTTCCATCGTTAGCCTTATAATAAAAACATTACTTTCTCCACTGCACAACATTGGTTTTGGAAACCACAATTTGTGAAGAGGTTACTTACCACTCTGATGGGTAATTTTTCTCCCCTATTAGTTTGTTTCTCAAACAAAATCTTCCTCAACCTTTCCCACTGGCAGGTGTATACTATCAGATACTAGAAACTCAGAAAATTGTATTTGATTTGAGTAAACATCCTCACTATCATCTGGACTTGAATCTGGAATTTAAGAGAGTGAATACAGTCAAGTATAATAAATGCACTAAAGTATAATGGACCAAAGCCTGCGTAAGGTGGGCTAATACCTGCCTCACAGGATTGGTTCAAGGATTAGGCACAAATACGGAGCATTTATGCCATGCCTGGAACATCGTGTTCAGTAAATGGATATGGCGAGACTGTGTATTGTTAGATTTGAGCCCTGCTGTGCCTTAGTCCCAGCTACTCAGGAGGCTGAGGCTGGAGGATTGCTTGAGCCCAGGAGTTCTGGGTTACAGTGTGCTGTGCTGATGGGATGTTTGCACTAAGTGCAGCATCAATATGGTGACCTCCTGGGAACAGGAGACTCCCAGGTTGCCTAAGGAGGGGTGACCTGGCCCAGGTCAGAAACAGAGCAGGTCAAAACTCCCTTGCTGATCAGTAGTGGGATCGCACCTTTGAACAGCCACTGCACTCCAGCCTGGGCAACATAGTGAGACCCTGCCTTTGAAAAAAGAAGAAAAAGGATTTGAGCCCCATTTGGGATGGGCCAAAGAGGAACAGGCGTTTTTATTGAGATGTTAATACAGGATTTGATCATTGAGTCTCAACTTCCCTAACTGAATTGGCAAACTAGATACCTTCTTGGGTTATGGTATATTAGAGAAACACGAAAACTACTGGCATTTGGACTTTCTTAGAATTTTGTGGCTCATTAAAAATTGTATCTGGCTCAGTGTGATGGAGGGTTGGGACCGGGCAGGGTCTTGCTCTGTCACCCAGGCTGGAGTGCAGTGGTGCAGTCATGGCTCGCTGCAGCCTCGACTTCCCAGCTCAAACAGTTCTGCATCAGTCTCCCGAGTAGCTGGGACTACAGGCACACACTACCATGCCCGGCTAATTTTTTTTTTAATTTTGTATTTTGTAGAGAGGGGGTCTCACTATGTTTGTTGTCCAGGCTTACGTGTGAGTTTTAAATAAACCATTTCTTTTTCTTTCAGATTTCCACAAGACGGCACCCTATGTCGTCACTGGCAGCGTAGATCAAACAGTAAAAGTGTGGGAGTGCCGTTGATTGTGTCTCCTTCGGCCCCTCCTCCCTCTTTTCCTCTGGATGCACTCTGATGATACCATGGTTACCCCATTGAGCTCTGTTTAAATAAATATTGTCCTTTCATGTAAATTATTCTGGATGTAGATTGAGCTTATTAAATGTTACACACAAAGTATTCATGCATGGTGAATCCAAATTGTATACTGTAAATTTACATACGTTGTCTAGAAGTACCATAGGGTTTAAAAACCTGGGCTGGCATTGGTCACACCAGGCCTAAGAAGGCAGAAGTTGAATCAATTGAACTAGGGCACTAAACTGAATAGTTGACAGTGTCATTTTATGTTGGATTATTAATTCCTGTTTTTCTTTCTGCTATCTGTTGGTGCCTGACTTGATGGCCTCATTTGGGGAAAAGTGGTGGTTATTAGGGCTTTTTCTGAAATGTGTATCTATGTAACATCACTTAAGTGTGCTTAATAAATCTTCTGTAAGGATTTTAGATGATAAGGCTACAATTCAGAATCTTCTGAACCATCTATGTAATGAATGGGGATTATACATTGGAATTTTTGTCATGACACATTTGCCAAATCAGTAGGATATATTTGTTTTGGCAGCCTATCACGCAGAGGCTAGTGGTATATTTATGTAAGAAAATGACTGTAAATCTCAAGAAAAATCTCAGCAGCTAATAGCAACTCATTTATTTCATTTTGGTCTTAATGCTTTGTAAACAGGTCAAAAAATACTGTCATACTCTAAGCTTCTATTTTCCACACTGGACATACTTCTAGTTGTATTCTCCATACTATTAGACTGTGTAGTGATGTGACTTCCAAGTAGAATTTAATCTCCCCATTGAGTGTGTCATGGTACAAATCACTATTCGTTTTTGGTGTTTTTTAGGGATGTGCAATGTGCATTACATAATGACAGAAATACTGAGAAGGTTCTGTGTGCCCATTTGAAAGGAGTGGGAGGAATACAGCAGTTTGTTTTTCAACATGAATCTGATATTGATTTAAACTGTGTTTCACTTACAAGTTTTAAAAAAATGACAGGGTTTAATGGAGCGTGCATAAAAATGTACTGTTTTCACCTTTTGTTTATATGTAAATGTTTGTAAGTATATGGGCCTATCTGTAAGTGGATAAGTCTGTATGTGTGTATCATACACATCAACCTCCATGTCCTTAGTCCTGGGTTTTTGAAAAAGTGCTAAAACGGACAAGTAGAATAAATGTTGCTGTGGAATGCCATGCTTTAGAACAAACCCTTTTTGATCTTAATGCTTCTGAAAACTAGGTCTGACTCTGGGGATTTTTTTCCAGCCGAAGGAAAATCACTTCCGTTATGTCCCCCTCTAATTTAGCCGCTCGACATTTTACACAACCCGGATATGTTGTATATTTTGACCCAAAGTTACAGGTAGGTTTAAGAGAATTTTTAGCCATGACTTTTGGAGCACTATTCCATTGTCAGTTATTAATAAAGAATTCCATTGCTTAGCTAACCAACAGGTTTTTTTTGTTTCCAAGAGAGTTATTTGAAAAGTTAACAGAACAATGAGATAACAGTGACAGTTTAACAAAGATAAAATTCTGAACTGCGTTTTATTCATTTGTGTACTATGTGATTTTTTAAATGTCCCCTTTAGTATTTAATGGAAAATTGGTTCCTGCAAAAGACAAAGGGTGAGAGTTAGCGTCCTGTAGATACACACAGAGACTAGGCCGTATATTAACTAGAAGCAGCTTTATGTCTAGCTTGTGTCTTTTTGTTTGTTTGCTTGTTTGTTTTTAGATTCCTGAGAGATGTCTCTGGAAGGGAAAGTTTTGAGAACTAATGGCTATTTTTGAGGACAAAAATTACATCTTAAGCTAATTCCTTAAATACATACAGTAGGTGAATTTTCAGGACAATATTGCCTCACAACCCTGCTTACATTGAAAAGTCTTTTTCCCTTAGCTCTTCTGACTGGATTTTTCTACAAAAACTATGGAAAATATCTTTGTTCTTGTTTGCTGCTATTTTCTGTCCTATTTTGAGAAATATAAATACATAGAAATGGTGCATCTTAACATTTGTTTGTACATGTATAAATGTCTTGTATTTTAATTCATTTTTAGCATGAATTGTTTAAGGGTAAGCCACAACATCTAGAAATCACTCATAGATATTGAACAATAAAGGAGAATGGTACCGATGCAGGAGGAAGCAAGCGTGTCTTCCCCTGCAGCACACAGCGACTTGCGTTGACAAAGGAGGAGGAAACGATTACTCTGTAAACAAAGTTATCCTTACTTGGGAGATTGCCACAGCCTGCTGCTGAGTTGAGTTACCAGACATCCTCCATGTGAGAAGCAGCGAACATTGAATCTCAGGGATGGCCCACAACTGGGTCCACATGTAATGAGCCCTGTTTAATAACGAAGGGGTGGGGGAGAGCAGTCCGTCTACAACCTGGAATCAGATTTGCAAAATTTCCTGCACTGCTGTCTGACACTGTCCTGTTGATGCCCTTTCTGACTGTGTTCTCTGTTTTCTCTGTCTGCTGTCTAACCCTGTGCCTTGCCTGGGATAAGGACAATGATGAGGTTACTGGTTTGGATTGTAAGTAGAGGACTTTTATTAATTGGTTTAGAGGTTCACTGCTGCTTTGTCACTTTCTCAATCAAATTGGCCACTTAAGAAATAAAGAGCTGGTAGAATTGCATCCTCAGATGATTATTGACTGTGTGTGTGTGTGAAAACAGACATTCCAGTGCCACCCAAATATATATCTGTAACGTGCCCAAGAAATCCTAGCTGCGCTCTTGAGAGTGCATGCCATGGAGACTGGTTTAGACACCGCGTGGAGCCTAGTTGCCTGTTGTCACGGCATCTTGCACTTTAGGAGACTAAGACCGTCCTGGTTCGTCTGTGTGTGGTGTGACCAATGGTGTGCCCAGAGCACTACTCTCAAAATCACTAGTGTTAGCAAGTCGTCCCGGGCTGGGGAGCGTTCGCCGTAGTCTTTGGAAGCTTTGGCTTTAGATTTACCAAGCCCCGCCTCCCCGCTGCCAGTGCCCTGCTCTCCCGTTCGCCTCTTTCTGTTTCTGTGTGAACTTTCCCGGTAATATCACTCGTTAAATAGGTTTTCTTTAAACTTAATTAAAGAAAAACTATTTAAAGGTAAAGGATATTTTGTTGACATCGGTGGCTCGATCATCCTTAAGCAACTGAAGTTAAAATTGTTGAAGGAAAAGGCACTTAAATTGGTTACTTTCATGTCCAGCTGTATATAAGTCCAGTGTGTTCATCTAGATGACGCAAAGAATCTCCTGGTAGAGAAGCGACATGTAAAAAACTGGTGGAAAAAGGTTTTGGATTTTTTTTCCAGTGGGGTGGGGGGAGGGCAAGCTGGATTTACAGGTCACGGCTGGACTGAATGGGCCTTTTTATCTTCCCACTGTATCATGGAAGTAGCTGCTTGCTTGTACTGTCCATCCTTCAGGCATCCCTAAAGCTCACTCTGAAGATGTTAGAGACAAACACAAACTCTTCGAGTTAAAGTTGATCCTGACACTGACATGAAGGCAAGCCTTGATTTCGTATGAACGTTGCTGAAGTGGTAATTGAGGAAAACAGTTCCCCAGATTGTTAAGAGTTCACTGAAGATATTGACACAATTTTAAAAAATCAGTAAAGGAATGTATATAATATTGCTCTCGTGTTTTACAGTAAGATTTGTTGCTCTCAGACTGTGTAAAACAAAATTTATTCATGTTTTCTGCATATTAAAAAATCTTATTGTACCAACTGGTAAACTATTAAATGCCTATAAAACTAGATGTGATTTTTTTTTTTTTTTTTTTTTTTTTTTTTGTCTTCCTTTGCACAGGGGAAATGCTGATAGAAAGTGGGGCTGTGTGTAGCTCCAGTCACAAAGAGTGACACGAATCGGTGTCAGGGCAGTAAGGCCTCATGAGCTGCTTTCCTTCAGGGCAGCACCCGAACTGGCTTTGCTGTCCCCCTTCCCCCGGGTGGAGGAGGGAGTGCCTCAGCCTGAGCCTTGCCATGGCATGCGTCTGCGGCACAGGCCCGCTCTCCCCAACCCTCCCAGCAGCCCGTTCTGACTGTGGCTATCGCTGTGGCCAGAGAGCCAAAGCCAGGATGGCTGGTTACAGGCCCAAGACTAGACTCTTGGGGACAGAGTCTAGAGATAAGGGGCCCTGCCGGGCGCGGTGGCTCACGCCTGTAATCCCAGCTCTTGGGGAGGCAGAGACGGGAGGATAGCTTGAGCCCAGGAGTTCGGGACCTCCCTGGGCAATATAGCGAGACCCCGTTCTCCACAAAAAGGAAAAAAAAAAGATGGGGCCCTACCCCCTTTGTTCTGTTAGCCTCTAATCTTGCTCAGTGGTCTTGGAATCATAAAAGTAAATCCTTAATACTGTTTTCGATTTTGGTTGAAACATACAAAATAAGAGTGTTCATCTTTGTCCCAGAAACCCCAGCTCTGCACTTTACACATGGCTGTATCTGTGGTGTATTCAAGGTGCCCTACAAAGGACAGTTTGGTGATGTGCTGGTTCCTTTCTTACAGCCCAGCTGTTTTCCTGCCTCCTATTGGGAGTAGTAGCCTGCCCCAAAATAGGAGCTTGGCCCAGAGCAAAAAAGGAATGGGCCATGCGCAGTGGTACGCCTGCAATCCCAGCAATTTGGGAGGCCGAGACGGGCAGATTGCCTGAGCTCAGGAGTTTGACACCAGCCTGGACAATACAGTGAAACCCCGTCTCTACTAAAAATACAAAAAAAATTAGCCAGGCGTGGTAGCAGGTGCCTGTAGTCCCAGCTACTTGGGAGGCTGAGGCAGGAGAAACACTTGAACCTGGGAGGCGGAGGTTGCACTGGGCCAGGATTGCACCACTGCACTCCAGCCTGGGCAATGAAGCAAGACCCTGGCTCAAAAAAGCAAGAAAAAACAAAGAAATTGGCCTGAAGTTAGTTCCCTGCACTTTTGCAGCTTTTCCATTTCCTTGCAAGACTCTTCCAGGCTGAGATCCAGATGATAGGGCCCCAGGGGCAGAGTTCTAGCGTTAGTATCACTATCCAGAAATGCTGTTAGCTGTTCAAAACCTGGCAAGTAACTCGCTGGCTTGTAACTGCCTCAAACCTCCTTCCAGGAGTCATGACTGTGTATGGCCTTTGATGCAGGGGGAGGGTAGCTGGCTGTGGCAGCTCTGTCCCTGCCTAGCCTGGTGAAACCTGACTTGTGTGCAGACGGTTCTTAACTGCTGATACACCAGAAGCTCTAGGACAGGCATCCTCAAAGTGTGTTCCCTGGTTCAGCAGAGCAGCAGCACCTGGGAGCTCACGCCTCAGAACCCCTGAGTGGAAGCGGTGCAGCCTGCTTGCTTGCTTGATTCACAATCTATTATAACAAGCCCTTCCAATGACTGAGGCAGGCTCAGGTTCGAGAACCACCGAGCTAAATGATTCAACTTCTCACCAAAGAAACTTGGGCACATCACTGGTCTCTTGGCCCCGCAGCTCAGGTCTGGATCCCGATCTTTCCTCTTTCATCCTTTTATTTATTTTTATTTTTTGAGACAGAGTGTCACTCTGTCATCCAGGCTTGAGTGCAGTGGGATGATCTCAGCTCACTGCAATCTCTTCCTCCCAGGTTCAAGCAATTCTTCTGCCTCAGCCTCCCAAGTGGCTGGGATTACAGGCGCGTGCCACCGTGCCCGGCTAATTTTTGTATTTTTAGTAGAGACAGGGTTTCACTATGTTGGCCAGGCTGGTCTTGAACTCCTGACCTTGTGATCTGCCCGCCTCGGCCTCCCAAAGTGCTGGGATTACATGTGTGAGCCACCGCGCCCGGCCTATCCTCACTTTGAACATGTGGAGTTTGTCCCTTTGTGACGATGTCCTATGATCTTCATTCCCACTTGGTCACCTGACCTTGACTGACTCTGTCTCAAAAATAAAATAATGGCTTACTCCCACAAATGAGGGCATTTCACCTGCCATTCGAGGATGGCTGGGCCTGCACTCTGTGGGGAGGGGGGGGTCCTGATTGATTTGGTAGTTTAGACCTTAGAGGTAGGGGAGAGGAAAATTTGGGCCACATCAGGATGCCTTACTCTCCAGCTGCAGGATATATAGGAATTTCCCCAATTTGTGTATGTGGGTGTGTGTGTGTGACAGTCTCACTCTTGCTGCCCAGACTGGAGTGCAGTGGCGTGATTTCGGCTCACTGCAACCTCAGCCTCCTGGGCTTCAAGTGATTCTCCTGCCTCAGCCTCCCGAGTAGCTGGGATTACAGGTGTCCGCCATCACATACCTGGCTAATTTTTGTAATTTTAGTAGAGATGGGGTTTCAGCATGTTGGCCAGGCTGGTTTTGAACTCCTGGCCTCAAATGATCCACCAGCCTTGGCTTCCCAAAGTGCTGGGAATACAGGCGTGAGCCACCACGCCTGGCCCACTTTTTAAAAAGTTGAAACCTGTCACCTAAAAGAAGGGAAGGAGAAAGAGTGGATTTCACACCTAGGGCCTCCATTTGCTTTATGAAAACAGCCCCTTGTCATTTGGGTCGTCAAAAGATGTCTGAGGGCACTAATACGCTTAAAGGATCAGCCAGGAAATAGGGGCCTCTCAGGTGACAAGGAGGCACAACCCTAACCAACCCCGATCTGTTCTCAGCTTCACAGGAGGCCCTGTTTTGAGAGGTGCATGAACATGTGGCTCACGTTCAACAACAAACACTCAGGAGAGGGGACAGAATGTTCAGGACACACCGGTGAGAGCAAAGGAAGCTGCTGCTGGGCTGGGGCTGCTGGGAAGTCTGAGAGGTTCTGTAGCAGGACACTCACTCGCTGGTGGCTGTCCCCGGGTGTCACCTAAAACCGCCAGGTCAGAAGCACCTTTTCTCCGGTTGGCTCAGGAAAACTGACAGACTCAGGGATGGAATTTTTTTCTTTTCAGAATTTCCAAGACGTACAGATCTCTCCAAGCATCCCAAAAGGCGTATGTTCCTGGTGGGGCCGAGGGCCTGCTCTTGGAGACAGATGGCGAGCAGCGGTCAGCAGCTACTGAGAGCTCAACTTCCCCTCTAGAGACAGGCTCTGCCGCTCAAGTCCACCTGGGTCTTGGCTCTCTGAATCCTGTCCGAGGGTGGCGAACTTGAGGCCCTCCTCCCTGCCCCCAGTGTCTCACCTCTGGGCAGTGCTGCCCACCCTCCTTCCTACCTCGAGTGAAGAGACAGGGGCAGGTGGCCAGCCAGGGGGGTGTTCAGTGACCTCACGGGTCCAGCATGCACAGGGCCTGGCCCCACAGCCCAGCACCCCTCCCCACCTGGCCTTCACAGTTTCTTCTGCACCTGGTGACAGGTGACATTCACCTGCACGACACTCCCGCGAACCTGG
Organism: Homo sapiens; assembly: GCF_000001405.40. NCBI lineage: Eukaryota > Metazoa > Chordata > Mammalia > Primates > Hominidae > Homo > Homo sapiens. Next base: position 2,689,196 of record NC_000017.11, read on the forward strand.
TGACGGACTGGCAGCTCGGTGAATTCCAGCTGAGTGCCTGTGATTCCACCCCCTTACCTCCCACTCAAGTGACAATGTAAGCGTGACCTCGAACTTGACCTCGTTTGTATCTATTCCTCTCCCAGTCACATTCCTGTCAGCCCTCACCATCCACCCAGACCGGGTTACAGAACACACAGGTGAGCCTGGGGCCGCAGGTTTCAAAAACTCACTTTATTCCAATGTGAAATGAGGACGTGATGGTTTAAAAACAAGAAAAAGTTCTTGCTCAGCGGTGGGGATGCTCTGCTTGCCCGCTCACGCCCATCCCCCTTGAAACAAGGTGTCTGGACGGACCACACCCATAAGCGGCTCTCCGCAAACCCAGGCAGACGCCCGTCTCCTCCGGGTCTCAGGGTGGCCACATCCTCCCCCACCAGGGCTCTGACAGCAGGCACAGAGCAGCAGCACGGGCAGGGTGGAGCGGGAGCAGCGTGTGGGGGCCCCCGCCACCCCCAGAGCTAGTCTCAGACCAGGAAGGGAGCTGGGCACCAGAGAAGCGACATCACGTCGGCACCTGTAACTCCCGGGATCCGTAATTGGGCCCCGCTTCCCCCAGCCTCGCCCCCGGCCCACTGTGCGTTCGGCAGCTCAGGTTAAAACTGAGGGGAGGGATACATTCAGACCGCAGGCCCCAAGGCTGCGCCCAGCTGGGTGCAGGGAGTAGGGAGCCGAGTCAGAGCCACCCACTGGGCTCTGAGGGCCCAGCAAGCCAACCCCGACCCCTCCGTTCGGGAGCAGCAGCCAGACCACGCCAGTCACAACGGCGGCTCCCGTCCCGCCCCAAACTAAAGTGCACCCCAGCCCTCCAGCCCCGCCACAGAGCTCCGGCTCCCCACCCCTCCCCACCGGGTTTTTCGGCCTAAACCCTGAACTTTCAGACAGGCTGGGCCCGGGGGTGGTGGCAGCCAAAGCAGCAGCCATCATGTCGACCATACAAATGACCTGAGAAATCCCGTCTGCGCGTCACCCACTCAGGAGTCACCCACTCAGGACTGGCTCGGGCTATGTACAGGGGAGAGGAACGGTCAACACTCACAGCCAGGGGCGCACTCGCACACGCCGGCCGGACGGCGGGGGCCGAAGCAACACCTGCCCCCCAGCCGGGAACTGATGGCCGCACACGCCATTCACGTGTCTCCAATGGGGCCTCTGCATCATCTATTCATTGAACCAGCGCAAAAACACCTTCTGCGGGGCAGGCAGGCCAGGCTCCCAGGAGGACACGGGGGTGGGGTGGGGTGAGACGTGGAGGAAGAGGGCCTTGCTTCCTCTTCCGCCCGCAGGCTCGCCCCCTTCTCCCGCAGTCGGGCTCCCTGGTGACGGGGCCGCTGGCTGGCTGTCCGTCTGGCTCCCTCTCTATCCCTGCACGCTCGGAGAAGGGTCCTTGGCAGCCGGGGGCTGGGAGCCCAGGTCTCCTGGGGCCCCCGCTGGCGCGGGCTCGGTAGCCATGGGCTCCTCGGCTCTATCCCTGTTTCTGCTGGCCTCCTGGAGCTGGTGCCGCCGCGCCACCTCGGCTTTCAGATTCTCCAGGTCTTTTTGGCTGAGGATAAGGGTGGGGATGGAGGTGGCTCTCAGAGGAGTCCTGGGGGCTCCACCCGCCTCCCGGCTTTCCTGTGGGATAAGCTCAGGCTCTGCGCTCTATTCAGTGGGGAATGTGTGTGAACAAGCGCTTCCCTCCTGAAGGCGGAAGGTCCCTGAACACGGAGAAGGTAAGGACCCCGCACCTGACCCGGCCTCGGGGCTCCCCTCGCTGCCCTCGGTGGCCTCCCTCCAGCGCAGGGGGAGGAAAGCGGAGTTGGGGGGCTGCTGCCACGCCTTGCTGACCAAATCCACTCCCCACAGGAGGCCACACTGCTTGTGGCCACCCCGGGGAGCCCGGGGCCTGCTCCTCAGCCCCCCCCCGCCGCAGGATGGGAAGCGTGGGGAGGGAATGAAGCCGCTTCTTAGGGACTGGTGGGAAAACGCCAAGATACTTTGTGTGAAGCAGAAACACCAAGGTCTTCACTCGCGGAATGCGAGGATGCTGGGGAAGATAAGCGGGGCGGGCCGGGCGCGATGGCTCACGCCTGGAATCCCAGCACTCTGAGAGGCCGAGGCGGGCGGATCGCAAGGTTAAGAGTTCGAGACCAGCCTGGTCAACGTGGTGAAACCCCATCTCTACTACAAACACAAAAATGAGCCGGGCGAGGTGGCGGACACCTGTAATCCCAGCTACTGGGGAGGCTGAGGCAGGAGAATCGCTGAACCCGGGAGGCGGAGGCTGCAGTGAGCCGGGATGGCGCCGCCGCACTCCAGCCCGGGTGACAGGGCGAGACTCCGACTCACAAAAAACCCCCAACCGGGAGACACTCGAGTGGGGCGGAGGCCTCACCTGAGAGGAATGAAGAGGATGCCGTTAATGACGTTCAGCTGCTCCAAGACGCTGGCCATGCTGGGGGCCGTGAACTGCGGGGCGGGGAAACCAGCGGTGAGCGGGGCTCCCGCGCTCGCCGGGCCGGAGGGGCCGCTCCGCCCCGGACTCACCTTGAGGGGCGGGATGTTGGCGCTGGAGCCGTTGCGGTAGATCTCGTTCATGGTGCGCTGCAGGGCCACGGCCTGCTGGGTCAGGCACTTGAGGTACTCGGAGCTTTCCTTGGTCTTCTCATGGTCCTCGCCCAGCTGCGGGGAGGCGGGAAGGGATCAGGCCCCCCCGTGCCCCCGCGGCCCCGCCCCCGCCCCGCCACGCCCCCGCCCCGCCCCCGCCCCCGCCACGCCCCCGCCGCGCACCTGCGTCTTGTAGATGGTGTAACCCTCCTTCTCGTGCTGCAGGGCCGACCGGAACTCAGCTTTGCTCTCGTAGACTCGGGCGACAAGGTGGTGGCTGCCGGGAGGCGCGGCGCGGGGCGAGGGAAGGGCATAAGTGGGCTGGGTGTGGGGGCCTGACTCGGGGGCCCGGGGTCTCCCGTAGATCCCTCCCTGGAAGCCACCGAGGGGAACAGCAAGTCCAGGGCTCAGGGAAGAGGGGGAGGTCGAGAGAAATTTTCTCGGGTGGAGGAAGACAGGAGCACTGGGTCTCTTCCCCGCCCCCGCCGGCTGCCCCGCAGGCCTCCGCCGGCCTTGGCGTTTGGACGGGCGGCCCCTCACCTGAGGGCCACCTTGAGGGCCTTGGGCCCGTGGTACTTGGTGCTGACGGCCAGCGCGTTCTCCAGGAAGCGCAGCGACAGGTCGTACTCCATCACCCCGTGCAGCACCAGCCCGATGTTGTTCTGGGGGCAGGCGGTGGGGGGCCCTGGTCAGCTCCCGGTCCCCTGGGATGGAGCTGGGTCCCTGCCGCCCCCCCGCCCCAGCACTCACGTCCAGCAGCGCCATCTCGGGGTGGTCTTCCCCGAACACCAGCAGCATGAGGTAGCGGGCGCGGTACAGCAGGCTCAGGGCGGTGGACAGCTGGCTGCTGGCGAAGCAGTACAGGGCCAGGTGCATCTGCGGGCGGGGCGGAGACAGGTCAGGGTGGCCGCGGACCCAGCCCCTCGCATCCCCCGGCGCGGGCGGCACTCGCGACTCACGTATTCCTGGATGGTGTTGGGGTGCTCGGTGCCCATCACCCGCTCGCTCATCAGCACCGCCTTCTGCTGGTTACTCAGGGCCTGGGGAGAGACAGTGGTGGTTGCCGCGGCGTGGGAACCCCCACTGCACCCAGAGCCCGCCTGGCCCCGGCCCAGCAGCCCACGGTGCCGCTCTGCAGGCTCCTGTCCCCTCCGGCTGCGCCCAGCACAGTGCAGCAGGGGGGAGGGGGATCAGCAGCAGCTGCTGCCACACCTTGAAGGGCAGGTCACGCTCCACAGAGAGCTCCACACACCCATGTCTTACACCCAACAAAATCTCCACAAACACCCAAATACAAACCTAAAACTACTAAAAATGTTACAAAAAAAAAAAAAAAGCCTGAGCAGGGGTGGGTCCCTTGAGGTCAGGAGTTTGAGACCATCCTGGCCAACATGATGAAACCCCATCTCTACTAAAAATACAAAAATTAGCTGGGTGTGCTGGCTCACGCCTGTAATCCCAGCTACTCGGGAGGCTGAGGTGGGAGAATCGCTTGAGCCCAGGAGGTTGAGGCTGCAGGGAGTCGATATCACGCCACTACACTCCAGCCTGGGTGACAAAGCAAGACCCTGTCTCAGAAACAAACAAACAAACAAACAACCCACCCATTTATAAACAGAAGAAAAAACAGTCCCTTTGCAGGGAGTAGGGATCCTAAGACATGCTAACCCTGAAACAGCCCTGGCCAGGCAGGGCACCCAGAACCCCACCACAGCCTCCACCAGCCCCGGCCAGGCAGGGCACCCAGAACCCCACAGCCTGCACTGGGCACAGAGGACGTGGGAGCTCGGTGGCATGCTTCCTGCCCACTCACGGAGTCTCAGGAGGCGTCCTTGCTGACGCCCTGTGGGGGGGTCCCCTGCCATCGCCTCCCAGAACTGACCTCACCGCAGCACAGGGTGCTCCTGAGCTCTCCCGCTCGGGACACAGTTACAGAGGGGTGGAGCCAGGGGTGGCCTGGGCAGAACCAGCGACTTCCTGGGGTCTCCCTGGACTCCACCCACTCCTCCGTCAGGGGCCCCCTCACTCCCCATCCCCCAACACGAGGCCAGGCCTTTGCTGCCACAGCCCAGAGGGTACCTCTGCGTAGTCGCCCATGATGTAGTGGAGGCGGGCGAGGAGGCGCAGGCAGGCGCAGGTCTCCACGTGCATGGCTCCGTAGACGTTGTTAAACAGGTTCAGGGCCTCATTGATGAGCTCACAGCCCTCCTTCAGGAAGCCTGCAGGGCACCCCCAGGGGTGGCAAGGTCAGGACGGGCCATGGGGAACCCCCACCTCCACCCAGCCCCACCTGGCCACACACCCTGCTGCACTTTGGCCTGCCCGCTCTGGAAGAAATGGAAGGCATCCGAGGCCTTGGGGTTGACGTGCTTGACCACGGGGAAGATGTTGAGCACGTCCTCCTCGGTGAACGCGGGCTTGTGGCGACTGTCGAAGCTGTACTCCTTCAGCAGGACCTGGGGGGCAGCCCCCCCACCACAGGAAGCCTCAGGCCCAGGTTCAGCGGGTTGGCACCTCCCAACCCACCAACGCTTGCGCACAGACGGCTACCGTGAAAAAGCCACTTCCCCTGTGGCCCTGGCCAGGAGTGGGAGCCTGCAGCAGGGACGCAGCGGGGACACAGCGGGGACACAGCGGGGATGCTGTGAGCCATGCCCACCTGGATCCCTGTTTTCAGCGAGATCTCCCGCAGGAGCGTTATCTTCTGCAGGCCGTAGGTCTCCACAGCCTGGTCCACGGTCTCACTGAGGAGGGAGCAGGGGGCCTGAGCAGCCCAAGCACCGCCGGGCCCCCCCAACACCGCCCCACCCAGCTCCCCAACGCTGTCCAGCCCGGGCCCCCAACACTGCCCCACCCGGCCCCCGGGAGCCTCCCGGCTGCCCTCACCCTCCAGCACCCAGTGATCTCCACAGCTGCTCCCTCTTCTCTCTGACTCCCTGGCCTATGACCACAGGCCTTAGACGCCATCTGGGAGCAGGTGGTGGCCGCCTCATCTGCCCAATCCCACCCACCCCACCGCCCCTGCCCCGCACGCACCACTCGAGGTCGAAGTCAAAGTAGTTCTTGGCCTCCTGGCAGATGTTCTTCCAGAGCTCCTGGGGGGTCATGACAGCCCAGGCTGTGTTATCTGCAGCCCCCGGGGGCCGGTTTTTCCTCCTCTTATTCCGCTTCTTGGAGACCAGCTCGTCGGCGGGCAGGTGGGCCACGGGGTTTGGGTAGGAGCTCAGGAAGCAGTTCAGGAAGTGGCTGATGGCGGCTGAGAGGCCGGAGAGCTCGACTCCCTGCGAGGCAGGTTGGATCCGAGTCATGAGGGCCCTCAGCCCCACCTCAGGCTCTTTCCCGACGCCCCACACCACCCTGGGAGGCCATGGCCAGCCGCAGAGCGGACGGGTGGCACCTGTAAGTACGTCTTGAAGATGTGCTTGGCCGAGCGGGTGATGAGTTCTCCAATGCCGATTTTCTGGAAGGATTCAGAAGGGAGGTCTTGGTCAGGCCCCCGGCCTCCATCCCAGTCCCACAGCTCCCGTTCCGCCCCACCCCGGGCAGCACTCACAAAGACGTGGTCCAGCTGGTGGCGGGCCGGGCTCCGCAGCACCAGCTCCAGCACCTTGCCCAGGTAGCGCATGTTGATGCCCCGCTGGCGCATCACCTCTGCCAGCGTTGCCCCGTCCACGGGCAGGACCGCGTGCTCCATGCAGTCCTTCACCTGCGGGCTGCAGCAGCTCAGGCCCCCACCCAGCTCCTCTGCCTCCACCCAACTGAGTCCTTCTGGGGGAGCACAGCTATCCTGGGAGGCCCTGGAGAAGGACCCCGAAGGCTCCAGCTCCCAGTCAGGATGTCAGAATGTGCCCAGCCTCTGGCAGGAGCGCAGGCCAAGAACCAAGAGCCCGGTGGTGGTACAGGCCCCCTCTAACCATGTGGGAGAAGCAGAGGTGCCCGCTTGGGGGCACTACTTGACCCCCAGCCCCGTGTCCTGAGGCTTGGAGGCCACGGTGTTGGGGGAGCACCCAGCATCCTGGAACCAGACACAGAGCCTGCGGGAGGAGGAGGAGGATGGGCAGCCCCCACTGAGCTCTGGCCCCGTCCCCCAGCCATGCCACCATCCAGGGCTCAGAAGACTGGATTACCAGCTGCCAGCCCACACGGTGGGCTCAGCAGGGCCTGTGCCCTTGACCTCTGGGGGTCAGGCTCCCCATCTGTCAAACGGGGATGCCCACTCAGGGAAAGCTGAAAAAGTCACTCCTGCGAGCCTGTGTTCATGGGCCTCCAAGTCGGAGACAGATGAGGGACCAGCACCCTCCACACAAGCCCCACCCAGCCCCGCAGCCCCTCCCTCACCAAGCCAGGGATCTGGCAGGAGAGCAGGAAGGCAGCCGCGTCCTTCAGCAGCTGCTTCTGGTCCCGAACTTCATCCTGGCAGGACTCAGGGAAACGAACCCCTGGAGGAGGGAGAGCAGAGAGGCTGAGCCAGGCAGTGGCAAGACAAATGCCGCCTGGCGCTGGCGGGGGAAGCGCTCAGATGGGGGACAAACCCACCAGCCCCAAGGGCCCAGGCCCCCCAGCGAAGCTCTGGCCCTGGAGGGCTCCTGCGCTGGCCGGCCCCCACCACCTGCCTGGTGAGAAGATGTCAGGATTGAAGCGAATGTCGAAGGCGGTGCTGCTGATGGAGCCGACCGCCTTGCACGCGTTGCGGATCACCTCCCGGCTCCGAGGGTCTGCTGTGGAGACATGGCTCCATGAGACACGGGTCCCCTCTGCCACCGGTGGAGCTGGGCTGCGCCAAGCCTCGCCCCCTAGCTCCTTGCAGAGATGTCTGCCAGCCTCTCCCAGGTGGGGGTCATAAGCCACCCTGGCAGGGCCAGCCCGGGCTCTCTCCCGGCCATCTGCAGCAGCCCCACCTGTGCCGTCGTCTGCGGCGATGGTCTCTGCCAGCTCCTTCACCTTGGCCAGGCCGCTGGCGCTGCTACCCTCCTCCTCACTTCCCGCCTCCTGTCCTGGAGGATCCTCAGACTTGGACTCCAAGGAGGAAGGACCACCATTTTCCAGGGAGGAGGGGGTCTCCAGCTGGCTGGCGTTCTGCTGCATCAGCTGCAAGGCGGCCAGCTTCATAAAGAGGAGGTACCTGGAGCAGAGGAAACAGGGCAGAGCAGGAGCTGGACATCGGGGAGAGGAGCTCTGCTGGCCCACGGCTCCCGGCAGCTGGGGCTCCACACCCCGCAGGCATAGGGCACCTCCTGGCCGGTGTGCATGAGTCAACGCAGAAAAACCAAGATCTCCCAAGACAGGAAGAAAAAGGCGGCCGGGCGTGGTGGCTCACGCCTGTAATCCCAGCACTTTGAGGACGAGGCAGGCAGATCACTTGAGGTTGGGAGTTCGAGACCAGCCTGACCACCATGGAGAAACCCCGTCTCTACTAAAAATACAAAAAATTAGCTGGGCGTGGTGGTGCACGCCTGTAATACCAGCTATTCGGGAGGCTCAGACAGGAGAATCACTTGAACCCGGGAGGCAGAGGTTGCGGTGAGCCGGGATCGTGCCATTGCACTCCAGCCTAGGCGACAAGAGTGAAACTCCGTCTCAGAAAAAAAAAAAAAAAGGCAGCTGCGTTCTGGAGGGTATGGGAAAAGAGGAGCTCCCCATCCAGGTCAGGGCTCTCAACAGTGACAGGAAGCCACTGGCATTTGAGAGTTACTCATGCTGTGGGACCTCTGACATGGCCATTTCCCCATTTCCTAAGCACTAAACACCAGCGGCGGGGACCCCCGGTGCCCCACCTGCCCGCCCCAGCACGGGGACAGTCACAGCCACCCAGACTTCCAAGTGCTCCTTAAGAGAACAGTGTCCGCCACAGCCACATTACCCGCCTGGCTGCTCGCGAGTCTGCAGCCCGGGTTTCTGCGCTCGGGAGCCTGACAGCAGGGCAGGTGGGGACGGGTCTCCAATGACTGTGGCTAGACGGAGCCCTTCTTCACTCTCCAGCGCTTCTCCCTTCAAGGACCCAACCCCGGATCCACCCAGGGCGCCCGCACTCCCTGCAGCTGGCCCCGGCCCTGGTCCGGCAGGGCCGCCCCTCACCTGTGCTCCACGAAGGCGTCCACCAGCTCCTGGCGCAGGCAGCAGAGCTTGTGCCGGTGGGCGCGGGGGAAGCCGGCGCGGGCGCATTCCTCAGGCAGCTCCTCGCCAGGCACGGGCAGGAAGTTGAGGTCCGGGGGGAAGGTGCGCAGCAGGTCGAGGATGTAGTGGCGCCCGTCGTTGCCAATGATGCCCTTGCACTCGACCGAGGAGCAGAGCTCCACCTCCTCGTCACGGTCGTTGAGCACCTGGTGCCGCAGGATCTTGAGGGGCCGACTCGTGCGCTCCAGCAGCTCCAGGTACCGCGGGTGTGACACCACGGTCTTGCCGAAGTCGATGGAGCCGTAGATGACGCTCTGCTCCTGGTCCCGCTCCAGGATGCCGGGGATGATGGACTGGGCCGTGACCCGGTAGCCGCGGTAATCCACCACCACCGTGCCCAGCGTGTACAGCCCCTCCACGTCCACCGCGTTGTACGTGCGGACGCCATTCAGGTCGTTGGTGGGCGCCACGTAGGCCGCCACGTCCCCCCCGAAGTCCTTGTAGTGGTCTCGGACGTCGAAGCCCAGGCTGAAGAAGATGTTGTTCCAGATGAACATCTGCATCTTGGTCTCCTCGCTGGGGTTGATGGCCATCACGTTGCCGTCAATGACGGCCATGGCGCCCCTGGTGGCTGCCGCGGTGAAGTCGCTGTGCACCTGGCGGGGGTCGAGGAGGGCAGGGTTAGAGGCCGCGCCCACAAGAGCCTGCATCCACCTGGCCAAGCGCACGCACCTAGACCGCGGAGGCAACCGGGCCTGCCTTGGAAACCCAAGGACCCGGAGCCTCAGTTTCCTCATATGTAGAAAAGGGCAAGAAAACCATGTTTTGGCCGGGCGCGGTGGCTCACACCTGTAATCCCAGCACTTTGAGGGGCCGAGGCGGTCAGACCACTTGAGGTCACGAGTTCGAGACCAGCCTGACCAATATGGTGAAACCCCATCTCTAATAAAAATACAAAAAAAATCAGCCAGGCGAGGTGGCGCGCGCCTGTAGTCCCAGCCACCCGACAGGCTGAGGCAGGAGAATTGCTTGAACCCGGGAGGTGGAGGTTACAGTGAGCCGAAATCACACCACTGCACTCCAGCCTGGGGGACAGAGTGAGACTCCATTTCTAAAAAAGCGCAAACAAACCAAAACCCCCATGTTTTGAGAATACACTTGTGCTGAGGGAGACAGCAGGGCTTAGTGATTAACAAGCGTGCGCAGGTTTGGGATCCACCAGTTATGTGCCAGGTGAACTTGAACAGATAAAGGTATTGACCTTTACAAGTTGTCCAATATATTATAGGAAATAGTCTCTATAACGCACTTGGCACCATCTCTGGTGAAGTCGGTACCCGAGAAATGAGTTTTTGTTTCTACAATTATCATCTCTAGGCAGTATAACTATGGGAGGTTGGTTGTTTTCAGACAGGGTATCACGCTGTTGCCAAGGCTGGAATGCAGCGGCACGAGATCCGAGCTCACTGAAGCCTCGACTTCCCCTGGCTCAGGCCATCCTCCCACTCCAGCCTCCCGAGTAGCTGGGACTACAGGCACATGCCACCATGCCTGGCTAATCTTTTGTATTTTTTGCAGAGACGAGGTTTCACCATGTTTCGTAGGCTGGTTTCCAACTCCTGGGCTCAAGTGATCTGCCTGTCTCAGCCTCCCAAAGTGCTAGGATTACAGGCGTGAGCCACTGTGCCTGGCTGAGATTTCTTTTTTTTTTTTTTGAGACGTAGTCTTGTTCTGTCGCCCAGGCTGGAGTGCAGTGATGCAATTTCGGCTCACTGCAACCTCCGCCTATTGGGTTCAAGCAATTCTCCTGTCTCAGACTCCCGAGTAGCTGGGACTACAGGCATGCGCCACCACACCCAGCTAATTTTTGTATTTTTAGTGGAGATGGGGTTTCCCCATATTGGCCAGGCTGGTCTTGAACTCCTGACCTTGTGATCCGCCCGCCTCGGCCTCCCAAAGTGCTGGGATTACAGGCATGAGCTACTGAAGCCGGCCTGAGATTTTTTTTTTCTTAAGCAACTGCTTTTCCTCATTTCTCTTAGTAACCCAGCACTAATAACTTTTAAACCCCAGCAAACTAAAAGTGTTATGCAAATGAGCACCCGCCCTAGAAGGGCCATGGCCGGCCAGTGCTCGCCCAGGCAAAAGCCCCGCAGCAGTCACAGAGGGCGGGAAGCTGCACGGCCCTGGACACTCAGTCCCTATGGGAAGTAGGGCCCGCTCCTTCCAGGGACTCAAAGCCTCAGAGAGGCCAGAGAAAGGTACTGGGATGGTCTGCTGGGAGGCGGAAGGCTAGCAGACCCTGCGGGAGACGCTGACTGGCCTTCGGGGAACCTGACAGGGTTAGGGCTGCCCCTGCCTCCCTTGCTTTCCTCCTCTCCATGAGAAAACCCGTCAGCAGGTGGACAGCGGGCCTCAGACTGCCGGTCAGCAGAGGCTGCAGGCACCTTGAATATGGCCCTTTCTCGGAGCAGCCGCTCAGGCAGGTTCTTGCGAGGCAGCTCCCTCGTCGTCTGCAGCTCCTCATTCCAGTCTCGGGTCTGCAGAGAGATCAGGGAGGGAAAAACGAGCTCAGCCTGTGCCCTGTGACCTGCTCCCGGAAGTCGCTCCTTCTACCTTCCTGAGAAGAGCCCCAGACTCCCAAATGAAGTCAAGCATGGGGCCTCCAGGGAAGTGCACGGAACCAGCCCAGCACCCAGGAGGGCAGGGGTGCCCAGCGAGGGCAGGGCCAGGTTGCAGGCACCTGTCCAGGAATGTGCTCCTCATAGCCCAGCCTCGAGGTGTAGGCGTCCTCTGCACGCACGCAATCCATGGCATGCTCCGCCTGGGGGGCTGTCCAGCTGTACACCTGGAATGGGGTGGCGATCCTCTCGAACGGGTGGCGCTGGACCCTGTGGCAGGCAGGGGAGGGGGAGATGGGGCAGCCCACCAAGCTCAGAGCCCTTCCACGGGCCCCTTTTCTGAGGCCCCCGCCTGCTCCGGCATCTCCCACCCTGAGACACTGCCCTGGAGCCAGATGGAAGTGCACGGGCGCCTCTCCTGCGGCTGCTGTCTCGGCACTGGCCGACAGCTCCCTAGAGCGGGGACTCCAACACTGGGGGCCCAGGGCGGTTTCTTCAGACAGAAGCACTGGAGTGCAGGTGGGCCGGCTCACCCCATGCCCCCGTGTGCCATGAGACAAGGCGGGAGGGGACAAAGGCACTACCTTTTCTTCTGCAGCACAGCGAAGTTCTTCTTGAAGGTCGGGCTGATCTGGTTGAGCAGCTCCACTAGGGAATGGCTTAGGAAGCGGGGGCTGGCGGGCTTGGGGTTGAAGTGATAAGCTGTGGACCTGCAGGGAGAGGGCGGGCACTGAGCGGGGGCCCAGGTGTCTGCCCAGACCCAGGACGGCTGGCACGGCAGGGGGGTGTGGTGGGCTGGCAGGGACTCACTGATTCAGGTAAAAGCCCCGTGTGGACGCGGTGATGCTGACTTGCCGGTCCTCGGCTGTGATCACAAACAGGTACATGAGGTCCCCGTGCATCTTCCGGTTCCCCGGGGGCGGGTTCCATCCGCTCATGGTGAGTACTTTCAGGCACTGCAAGGGCTTCGGGAGCGGCCGAGTCTGAGGGGCCAGGCCTCTGGTGTGGGGCCTCCACCCCGCCAGGGACCCTCTTCCTCCCTCCCCCAGGATCCTACCTTCCAGTCACGGTTTTGGGGCTGCAGGGGACACAGTGGCCGCTCCCGGCTCCCTGGCAGGATGTACTCGGGTGGTGTGCAGTCGATGGGGTCCATCTCCAAGCCCTTCTTCCGCTTCCCGCTGTCTGAGGGACCCGAGGCTGGTGGTCAGCACAGGGCCACCCAGGGCCAGCTGTCTCCCTACCTCCTGATGGCCGTGGTCCGGGTGCCTCAGGCCCAGGCCCCTCGGCCCCTTCTCCAGCCCCCCACCTCCGTGCTCCCCGCCCTTTGGCCCAATCCCCGGCCCCAGTGCCTCCCGCACCTCCCAGGTCGCCGTCGGTGAAGACACTCAGGAAGGACAAGGAGTTGCAGTCAACCCCGTTGAAGGCATCGGATGGGTCCAGGCTCTTGAGCAGGTCTCGGACATGGCGCACGTGGATGCGGGCCTCACGCACCGTGTACGGCTCTGTCAGGAAGGCAGGGAGGGTATGGCGTTACCAGGGCCCTGCACCCTGAACAACCTGCCCAGCACAAAACAGGTTTTGGAGGTGCTAACACAGTGGTTTTAATTTTCAACTTTAGGTTTCCGTTTTCAAATTCCACTGTGAACACATAAGCTGGAGTTCTGGTTTTGACACCACAAACACACACACACACACACTCTGCCTACTGGTGAGCAGGGATCTTTGTTTATAAAGAACTTTCTGCCAAATGCCTCTGAAGCACACACAGGCCTCAGGCGTCCACAAGGCTGCCTGCTTTTGTGCGCCAGTGTGTCGGCTGGGCAGGGCTTTTGGAGCTGTGGGACTTCCACACCACAGCCTTGCCCTGCTCTCCCGAGGCAGCCTCATGTAGGGGTGGCCTGAGGACTTTCCAAGGCCCCCAATGTCAACACTGCCCCTATGTGGTTTCATGGGATTTTAATGGCAGTTCTTTTGGTGGAGGGGAGAGGTTCCGTGATCAACTGTGGGCGCTGTTGAGCTACAGACCTTTTCCGTCACTGCTCTCAACAGGCGGACAGGCCCTGGGGTGGAACCCAAGCAGCTTCTACCCAGAAAACTCGAGGCCACAGACCAACCGGATGGCACCTCCCCGTGCCCGACCTCCCCACTCTAGGGCTAGGAAACGTTTGGGACTTCTCATGGATCTCTACAGAACTGAACTGCGCTGACTTCACGCCCTGGGATGGTACTGCCTGATTTTTTTTTTTTAGAATCACGGCTCTGTTCTTTTGTTTTGTTTTTTTTTTTGAGACGGAGTTTCGTTCTTGTTGCCCATGCTGGAGTGCAGTGGCACGATCCGGGCACACTGCAACCTCTGCCTCCCAGGTTCAAGTGATTCTCCTGCCTCAGCCTCCCGAGTAGCTGGGATTACAGGCACCTGCCACCACGCGCAGCTAACTTTTTGTATTTTTAGTAGAGATGGGGTTTCACCATGTTGGCCAGGCAAGTCTCCAACTCCTGACCTCAGGTGATCCACACGCCTTGGCCTCCCAAAGTGTTGGGATTACAGGCGTGAGCCACCATGCCCAGCCCACGGCTCTGTTCTTTAACCCATGGGCCGTGAAGTTGGCAGATATAGGTGTGCTGGCCTGAGAAGCAGATCTGTGCTCCAATCCTGCCTCCATGAGCTCATCCGTGACACAGGGACCCTGGCATGGATGGTGCTGCCTGCCTCTGCCTCCGTGGGCCCTCCCCCGGGCAGGCTGTCCAACTTCCAGACCAACCTTCCACCACACGCAGCACAGAGCCCTCCTGCAGCCCCTCGACGCTGCGCAGCTCCGAGAAGTGGTCCAGCACGTTGCCATCCAGGTGCAGTGAGAAGCAGGTGCGGTGACACGTGTCCTCCCGGTCCATGAGCACCTGGTGAATCTCCTGCACCATCTCCTGGGGGGACACCTGCAGGGAGAAGGCCCCGCCCACCCCGGTGAGAGAGCACGTAGCGGGGAGAGAAGGCCCCAACCGCCCCGGTGAGAGGCCACGTAGCGGACAGCAAGGACAATATCCCCTTGTCCCCAGCCCAAAGTACCTTGGTCCCCAGAATAAATGCCCCAAATACTCGAATATCGGCTATCCCACTTTCTGGCTTTTAAATCCAGGCCATGTCCACACATGCCATGCCCTGTGTGTGCAGCCTGGAGCCTGGCCCACCGACTCGGCCTGCAGACCCAGAGCAATGCCCGAGCAGAGAAGGGAGATGAAGAACAGCGGGACAGAAGACGGCAGGCTCGCCCCCGGCCTTGCCCAGTGCTAAGGTGCCTGGGGCAAATGGCTTTCCCCTTCCAGAAGGGGTGCTCTGGGGCCCAAGCCTGCGGGTGCCGAGACATACGACGACCCTGTCTCGTTCCCCACTGAGTCACCGGCTTGCAAGACCTCCACGCTGGCTCTGCCCTTGGAGATAACCCAATACTACCCTCCCCTCTGGCAGATGGTAAAATCACGGCCCAGAGAGAGGTGACTTGCCTGAGGGCACAGAGCAAGAGGCTGGGGAGTCCTGGGATGCCAACACTTCCCAGCCACTATCACTCCCCTCCCCACATAGGGCTGGCAGGCCCAGCTGGTTGCTGTCCTCTAGCAATGGGGCAACGACCTGACCCTGGGCTCGATTCCCACGTCCACCACGCTAGCTGAGTGACTCTAGGGAGGGCACGGGATC
Source organism: Homo sapiens (assembly GCF_000001405.40). Taxonomy (NCBI): domain Eukaryota; kingdom Metazoa; phylum Chordata; class Mammalia; order Primates; family Hominidae; genus Homo; species Homo sapiens. Next base: position 2,704,247 of record NC_000017.11, read on the forward strand.
CTCAGTTTCCTGCCACAAAATGGGGCCGGTAGGAGCACGAGCAAGGCTGAGCTTTCCAGCTCACCCTCCCCAGCAGGCTCAGGCCTGGCCCCCAGCACCCGTTCCTCCATCTTACCTGCAGGGAGAAGGGCTCGATCCCAGGGGCGAGGATCTTCACAGAAAAGCCCGTGTCCTGAATGACAATGACTTCCTGGCCGGTGGTCTCATCTCCCGGGCCGGCCTCGTCAAGCCCATTTTCCCTGGGTGGCTCGGCCGCCGCCGCCTCCTTCTTCAGGCTCTCTGGGCAGTCCCCGTTTAAGAGCATGACTGATGGCAGCTCTGCGGGTGACAAGAACGGGTCAGAATCAGGCAGCCTCGCTGGTCGGCGGGGCTGTCCGCCTGACCCCACACGGGGACACGTGCCTTCTGGAAAGGCATCTGCATGCCCTCGAGAGTCCCAGCCTCACGGTCGCGCCTCGCCCTCCGTGCACCTGCAGGCCACTTCCACACCCAGCCGCCCCTCCCAGCCACTGTTCCCTGGCCCACTGTGGTATGGCTTGCACCTGAACCCATGTCCCAAACCACTCTCCCCAGGGTCACCAAAGCCACCCTTCAAGCCAAGCCCGAGGGTCTCCTCCGGCCCTAACACACCTAGCTTCCCAGCAGCAGTTCCCCTCTTCCTCTCCTCTTCTCTGACCCCACACAGTGCCCTTGCCCCTCCCTCTCCAGCTCCATCCTCTTCCATCCCTCCTGAGCTGTGGTCCTGGGCTGCAGGGGGGCTGCAGGGGAGTGCCTAGGCCCAGCCTCTCCTGTTTCTGACCCCACCCCCTCCCATACACTCCTGCCCCGTGGCTCACACGGCCAATCCTGTCCTCTCTCCAGCCTTTTGGACCAAGGAGACCGCTGCCTCCCAGGCATCAACATGTGGCTGTCCCTGAGGCATCACTGAAGCCTCGTCTTGCAGGGACAGAACTCATCTTCCTCCTCAAACTGGCACCTGCTCTATCTAGTCACCCACCCTAAATCTCCCAACCCACCCACGGGACCCGGCCTCTGCAGCCACTGCCCTAGGGCAGGCATTTCCTCTATTTCAGCAGTGCCACCTGCAACCCTCCTAGGAAGCCCACTGCTTACAAGACCAAGCTTCTCAGGCCAGCGCTCTCAGGCACCCACCTGAAGTCAGCCTCAGCTCCTGCCTGCTCCCTGCTGAGGTCTAAGGACACCACACCATGCAAGCCTGGTACCGCCCACAGCCCTCCCACCGCCCTCCCACCGCTGTGCTTCTGTGTCTGTGCTGCCCCTGACATCCCATTCTGTACAGCAAACACTGACTCACCCTTCAAGGCCTAGGAGAAATAAACCTTTTCCACAGCCTGCCCAAATGACCCTTAATGGCAGAATCACACTCCCTCCCCCTTTCATTCCCAGAGACATTCGGCTGCACCCAGGGTGGCGTCCTCACCAGCAGCTCTACCCACCACCTTCTATCTTGCCCAGGCTCAACAAAAAAGGCAACAAATAAAGTACTTACTGCAAACCTCTAGCTACATCCAATATTTGAAGACAGCACCCAATCCACATGCTCCAGGGTGGGGAGCAGGTGACAAAACCTTGCATTCCTACCCAGGCACCAGTGGAACAAAGGAGAACCCCCTGTTCCGCTGAGGAGCCAAGGATCGCCTCTCAGTAACCCTCCAGCAGACACGGGCCTGCCTGGGCACCCATCTAGGAGATGAGGACCTTGGCCCCCAGGATCTGTCCATGGGCCAGGCTCACCTGCCTGGCTTGGCTTGAAGTTCAACGGTCCCAACTCTGAGGAGTGCCTGGGTTCCCTTCCAGAAAGAAGAGCTCGCCCAGCTCTGCCCATCCCATCTAGACCCCACCTCCCCTTCCCCACCCGGCTCTCAGGAGCGGGGACAGGTGCCTTTCCCAGAACTGTGTGGTCCCAATCCGGACCCACCAGAAACACGGAGCAGGAGCCTCAGGGAAGGGATGAGGCCAGTACGGAAAGGCAGAGACCGGGGGGCCTGGAGAGAGTCGCTCCCTTTCCCTGGATCCCCACGAGCAAACGAGAAACAGGACCTCTAAGAGCTCAGAGTCTCTTCCCCCTTACCCCAAAGAGGGGTATTTGAAGCCCAGAAAGGCTCGGAGCCTGGCCTAAGGTCAACCAAGTCAGAATGGGCCCCAGACTCCCTCCTGCAGCCCGCACCCTACGCCGCGGCACTCCCTCAACTCTGGCCACTGAGGACCTTCAGTAACTGTGCATGTCATGGCTCTCCACCCCACCCTCTCCAAGCCTGCAGTGGACTCCCAGGAACCACGAGGATGTACAAAGACCTCCCTTCCAGGATCCAACCGCCCCAGGAAGGGCACCCCCAATCCCCTCGCACGTGAGCAGCCCCACACACCTGCCTGACTCTAGTGACAGAGCAGAAAGACAGCCGGGGCGGTGGTCGGTCAGCTTGCAAACAGCAAGAGGCAGGGCAGCCAGGTGGAGGAACTGCCCCCACAGGGTCCCTGAGAAAGGCTGTGCTGGCTGCCAAGCCCCTGGAATAAGGGGAGAAGCAGGAAGGGCCCCCACCCAATATAGAACAGCAGTTTTGAGCTATGAGATCCCAAAAGTGGGGAGTCAAATACCTAGACAGAGACAGCCTGTGTTCTTTCGCATGTCTGGAATGGGAGGACAGAAAGGAGGGACGACAAGGCAAGGTGGCCGCGGCTCCCACTCTCCTTCCCCAGCCCAGGGAGACGACCCTCAGGGGGTACCTATTCCCTATCCCGTTTCAAAGGAATGCAGCTGGCTCCCAAGGGGCCTCCTCTCCCCAGGACAGCATGTTTTACCCTAATCCTTCCTCCTAGGAACCCCGAAGGTCTCCCCACCCCTGGATGAAGGCTGAGCGATCTCCCCCGCAGGCAGCTGGCTGGCTCACCAGGTCCCGGTGCTCACCTGGTGCAGTTGGCAGCTGCCCTCCCCTCGGCTCTGGAGTCTCAGGATGGCCGTGGCAGCAAGGCAGCCAGCTCTCCAGCTCAGCCCCAGCATTGCCCGGGTTCCTTGTTCCAGCCTCTGCCGCTACCCTTGCCCTAATGCAGCCAGTCGGCCCGGGGCTGGAGCTCCGGCTGGCTTCGGGTTTCAGTGGGGCCAGGCCTGCCATGGCAGCCCCAGGAAGGGCACACTCCCCCTGCCTGGCATCCCGCTCAAGGTCGGCCAGAAGGACGGCTGTGGGCCAGGAGAACCCGGTGGCCCCAGGACCCCAGGGGGAGCTGCTATCAGCACTCAGGCCCACCTCCCTATGCCCCCTAGAGAGGGGGTCACTGCCGGCAAAGCCGCTAGGGGGATCGGAGAACCCAGAATTTGGGGTACCTGGACCCCTCAAGATTGAGGGCCTAGGAGACTGGCTGGCAGGGGCAGGGCCCAGCAAGGGGGTCCTCTCCTCCGCTCCCATCCCAGTGGGGGTGAACAGGACCGCTTCTGCCAGCTGCCGCCAACAGCTGGCACAGACCCGGGTCCAGGCCATAAGGTGGCTGCCTCTGCCCACCAGTCCCAGACACTGAGCACCCCACTGTCCCTGGGCCAAGGGCCTGGCTGGGACCTCTGGCTCCTGCTGCCCCCTGCAGGTGACCTGGCTGCCAGCCCCTTCCTGGGAGTCACTGGTTCTGGTGGAAGGGAGGGGGATGGGCCCCCAGCTTCCCAGAGGACAACTGCACCCGTGCCCCTGGCCTCCAGGCTCCATCAAGAAGCTGGCAGGCTCCATCTTCCCTTCCCAGCAGCCCCGGCTCTGCCAGGAGGGAACCAAGTCTCTCCCAGGGGAGAACAGAGCTGGCAGCAAGAGGCCAGTGGCCGCACGGCGGGGGAGGAGGTGCCCAGCTGGCCAGGGCGCCTTCCCAGGGCCTCTGACATGCTGCCAGTGCCCAGTAAGGGCTGCCCCAGCATCCACCCTACCCAGGGTGGGCGGGAGCCAGGCTCTCACTCCATCCCCTCCCCTCCAGGACCAGGGATCAGGCAGACCCTGGGCTGCTTCACAGCCCCCATGGAAGGTTCTGGGTCTCACACAATGACCAGAGGAGAAGGACCAGGCCTAGACAGAGCCCCTCTGCTCCTACCCTCTCCTGAAATACACCCTAACCCTCCGGAGAGAGGGGTGGGGCAGGGCAGCCTGGCAGTGACCCCAGAGAAGTGTTGACAACCACCTGCACTCTGATTACCACAGAGCCAGGACTCACGCTAGGCCCAGCCCACGGCAGCTCCCTAAACCGCCGTGCCAGCCCATCTCACCTGAGGAAACTGAGGCTCCAGAAGGCTAGGAAGCAGCTGCCCAAGGTCACAGAGGCAAGAGGAGCCAACCCAGAGCAAGAAAAAACCAGGTGTTACTATCACATTTGGGATTAAGTTTAAAAAAAAAAGGAAAGAAAAAACAGGAGTGTCAGACGCCCAAGCCCATGGCTTTTGAGTCACTCCCACTGAGCGCGGGCTACCCACCCGCTCCCACCGACCTGCTCCCGCCGACCCGCTCCCATGGACCCGCTCCCACTGACCCACTCCCACTCAGCGCAGCCCACCCACCCCCTCCCGAGGGGCCCGGCAGCACCCACAGGTAGGCTGCACCTGCCTCCTCGTCCAGGCCTCAGCCTCTACTCGGGGGGGGGGGAGCAGAACTATCCCAGTCACAGCACTCCCCAAGGCCTCTACACCCTTGGGCCAATACTCCCTCCTCTCATAGTCCAGGAGCACCTCTGAGGATGTGAGCTTTAGGGGAGGGGAAAAGGAGGTCTTCTGCAGAGCGGGAGAGCCGTGCCCCAACAGCACTCTGCATACACGCAAACTCAGATGCTAGTGAAGAGACAAAGCACACCCTTGCCCCGGCCTGGAGGCGCCGGGAGCTCAAAGGCGGCAGAGAGGAGGAACTAGAAAAGAAACTTAGGCCTCCCAGAGGACCTGTGTGCTGCCCAAGCCAGGCACAATCTCACTCAGAAGACTGTGCCAGGGCCAGGCCACGCCCCAGCCAAGGCCTCAGCAAGTGAGGCTCCAGCAGGAAGTAGGGTCCGAAAAGGTGCATCACCCGTCCCGGGAGCCCAGGGCTTCAGGGAAAGGCAATGGGGCGGGCAGGCGGCCTATGGAAGAACCTACAGACCAGGCACCTGTTTGCCTCCTTCCTGTCCCACCCAGGCCAGAGGCAGGCGTTCAGGGCCTGAGGACAGTTCAGAGTTCCTCAGGCTGCTCTCCCCACATCCCATCCAAGATCCTGTTGCGGAGCTCCCATAAGCCCCTAGACTCCTTCCCCAGCTGCCAGCCTCCTCCTCCTCCCCCTCTGGGCCTCAACTCCAGGGAGCCCTCCCCTGGGCAGAAGGAACCTGACGCACCACTGTGGACCTGAAAAACCTGCCTGTTCTCTTAACCCCTAAAAGCCGCTGTATTCCCAGGAAGGTAACCAACCCTTGCCCCCGACCCTCAATGGCCTAGATCAGCTCCTTCCTAAGGGGGCTGAAGAGCCTTCCAGAGCTGGATCTCAGAGGTCAGAAGCCTTGGTTCTGATGCTCAGGTGGGCCCCAGCTGGGGGGTCTTCATTAAGGCTCCTTCCTTCTTTCAATAGATCCGGGCTGGCTGTAACGTAAGTCCTAGCTAGCTGTACTACCTTCCCAGGGACGTAGGAGCCCATGTCCTGCCCACGAGTATGCTCCCAGTTTCCCCAAAACAAATAGCTGTGCCCTTCCCTGACTCAGTTTACCCCCGACAGAGCCCCCCCACCCCCAGCAGAGTTAGGAAGGGGCTTCACTGACTCCCTCACAGAAATCCTCCAACAGACGCTCGTCAGCCCCCTAGTTCTCAGCACGGGATCCAAACCAACACGCCTGTCCCAGCTTCCTCTGGGCCAGGCCACGGCAGCCTTGGCTTGCTGGCCATGAGCTGGAATCCAAACACTTCCCTTAACAGCTAAATCGCTGTGTGACCTTGGGCAAGTCACTTCGACTCTTCGGGTCTCTGCTAGAGGGGAAATCAGCCAACCTCCTCTCATCCAGCCTGCCCCCACTGATTCAGAGCCACATCAGCACAAAGCCTGGTAGGTTGGGGCGATGAGCATCTGCTCTTCTGCCCAAACCTTGGCCTTGTCTAGACAATCAGCAGTACTGCCCCAGCACCTGTCCCTCACCCCAAGGCAACTCCGCTATGATGGGAACAGGGTCAGAGGGCTGAACGCTGTCCCCATCCTGATTCCCAAGTCAGCCCTGGCGCACTCACTGAAGCTAGGAAGGGAGATGATGAGGCGTTAAGACCACAAGTCCCAACTGAGGACAGTCGACGGAGGAGGGAGGGACTGGGGGACAGGAGTAGCTCTGCACCTCCACTGCCACCCAGAGCAAAGAGGGCCTGAGGAAGATGACGACTGAGGGCCTGGGAAGGGGATTCCAGCCCCAAGGCTGGAGTCTGAGACACGGTGGAGGGAACAGAAGGAAGAGAAGGGGCTCAGGAGAAAGGGAAAGCAGGCCCCACCCGAGACAAGCTGCAGCCACTGCCACAGTCACCACCATACAGCCCCCATGGGGGATCGCTGGGAGCTTGACTCCACACTAACGACCTTTGCCTTAAAAACAGCAACTCTGGTCTGACCCACTTTTCGCAATAAGGCAGGTTAATGATCAAGTTCTGGCACAAACACTTCCCCCTGCCAAGGAGTTTGGCTCTGCCCCATGCAAAGGCAGACGCCCCCTACACCAGGTCGGCCGAGCAGGCCAACACACCTGAGAGTCTCCGCCACAGCCTGAAGACCTGCGGTTATAGCCTGGCCTCAGGGCATGAACCAGGGACGCCCCTCACAACGCACACCCCGCACCTCGTGCTCTTCCCACAAACCAAGCCTGGGAAGCCTCGAGCGGAGCTTCACTCCCAGGGCTGCAGCCCTGCGCACAGGGGATGCCTGGGAGGCCGCCGCGGAGCAGGTGCCGAAGGGGGCTGTCCCGCAAACGTCGGAGCGACCCCAGCTCAGAGAGCTCCCATGCTCGGGCGCAGAGGGGGTGGGGCCGCCGATTCTTTCGGTCTGCGGCGGCGGCGCACCCCGAAACCGCGTGTGCGCGCACGTGTCCCCGCGATGAGGCGCGCGTGTGCCCGCCGAGGGTGCCAGCCGAGGCTGCCCTCCACGGGACCGCACGTGCGAAACCCGGGCCGCAGCCGGGGGCGACTGTGAAGGTGACCTTCAGCGCGGGGGCGACCCGGTGAAGGCCCCAGCGAGATACAACCGGGCCCGACGCGGAGGGAAGGCGGCGATCCCCGCGGAGTCCCGAACCCGCCCGCCCTGGTCCGGCGCCCCCCGCCCAGCGGCCCGCTGGCCCTGGCCCCGCTCACCGGCCGCGCCCGGCCGCCCCTTGCCCCCGGCCTGCGAGCCGTGTTCCCGGGCGCTGTCGGCCGGGGCGGCCGCCGGCAACTCGTCCGTCTTGATAACCATGGTGGCGGGAGCGGGCGTCCGCCTCGGCTGTCCGCGCCGCCCGCCGCGCCACTAACCCAAGTGCCCTGCGCGCCGCGGCTGCTGAGGGAAGGACGGAGTCACCGGCCCACGTGGTGCGCGCCGTGGCCTTTGACCCCGCCGCCGTTTCCCTGCCCCACCCTCGCGCCCGGCCCAGCCCACGGCGGCCCGCGAGGGACAAAACGCGCCGCGCCTGGTTCCCCGCCCACGGACGCGGTGACTTTCCAGAACGTCTTAAAGGCAACGCACTCTGACTCAAGGCCCAGGGAGGCTGGGCGCCCTCGCGGGGCGGGGCCTCGGGGAGACTCCCTGCTGCTCGCTGCCCGTCGGGCGGGCACTGTGACCTTGGGTGGAGACTGGTCTGGTTCTGCCATGGCTAATCCTCCCCTCTCCAAGGATCCCCTGTTTTCTCTTGCAGATTTGCTAAATGACCGCGCAGTCTGTCATCTGCGGTGTTCGCGTGACCCTCAGCGCCCTCCCCACCCGGCAGGCCCTTTCCCGCCGAATGGGTGCGGCTGGATTATTGAGGGAGTGGAGGGTCGCTTAGGGCACGGGCACGAGAGGCGAGGGCGAGACGTGGCTAATGGGGATCAAGAGTCAGAATGGACCCGCCAAACTTTGCCCCGAGCCAGAACGGGCTCCCTACCCGCGTCCTCGACCCATGGGTCCTCACCTCCAGGCTGGTGTCCTCATTTTACAGTGGAGGAGGCCGAGACCAAGGTCACACAGAGAGCAAGGGGTAGAGCCGGGTCTGACTCCATCCACAGCCAGGACGCTTTAACTCGTATTTTTCACTTGGCAGGGGCTTGGCGGGGACGGAACGGTGAGGTCAGAGAATGCTGCAGAGGGGACATTGGGACCAGGTCTTGCAGTGAGTTGAAGTGCTCCAGGCAGAGAGCGCCGGTGGGTCTTTCCTGGCCAGGCCGCAGGGGGCCTTTGGGAAGCACCCGAGGCCTATAACCTTCGGAGCGTTTGTCAAGCTCTAATGAGAACTGGAAAGCTTCAGCTTCCCGAGGTGGGCTGGGAGGGCCTTAGGTAGGGCCTCGCACAAATTGCGAAGGAAAGCCGACCTTGTTCTGGAGAGCACGTGGTGAGGAAAGCCAGCGACTTGATGTGAGCATTTAAACGGGAGGAAGGAAGATGAGAACTGGTAAGATTCTTCTCGGCCGGGCGGTGCAGCGGCTCACGCCTGTAATCCTAGCACTTTGGGAGGCCGAAGCCAGGCGGATGACTTGAGTTCAGGATTCGGAAGTTTGAGACCAACCTGGGCAACATTTCAAAACCCCCGTCTCTACAAAAAATATTGTTTAAAAAAAGCCAGGTGTAGTGGCACGCGCCTGTAGTCCCAGCTACTTGGGAGCTGAGCTGGGAGTATCACTCAGGACGGCTCAGATTGAGCCCAGGAGTTCCAAGCTGCAGTGAGCTATGATCGCACCACTGCACTCCTGCCTGGGTGACACAGACACCGTCTCAAAAAAAAAAAAAAAAAAAAAGCCGGGCGCGGTGGCTCACGCCTGTAATTCCAGCACTTTGGGAGGCAGAGGCGGGCGGATCACGAGGTCAGGAATTAGAGACCAGCCTGGCCAAGATGGTGAAACCCCGTCTCTACTAAAAATACAAAAATTAGCTGCGCATGGTGGTGTGCGCCTGTAGTCCCAGCTACTCGGGTGGCTGAGGCAGAAGAATCGCTTGAACCCAGGAGGTGGAGGTTGCGGTGAGCCGAGATCGCGCCATTGCACTCCAGCTTGGGCAACAAGAGAGAAACTCCGTCTCAAAAAAAGAAAAAAAAAGTGTGCATATATATATATAGTGTGTGTATATATATATAGTGTGTATATATAGTGTGTATATATATAGTGTGTGTATATATATAGTGTGTATATATATAAGTGTATATATAAAATATATATATTTATAATCAATATATATAAAAGTGTGTATATATGTGTGTATATATACACATACATACTTATGTGTGCGTGTGTATATACGTATGTGTATACACACACTCGTTCCTCTTTTGTTACACAAATGTGCAGAAAATTGTACCTGCTATTCTTCACTCTGATTTTTTTTTTACACGCTTTCAGTAGGTGTTCTCATTCCATTTACGCTGGATAATGTTGTATTGTTTGGTTGTACCATAATTCTTTTAGCCGGTCACCTGACTGATGGGTACTTAGTTTGTATTCATGAAACTCCAGGGTTTTTGAGAATTGTGCCTAGTGGCCCAGTGCAGCTGAAGTTGGAAGCCCGTGCATGTTGCTAATGCTACTCATAATAGGAAGCTCAGTTTTAACCCTGGGGGTTGGGGAAGAGCAGCAAGCCTGGGGTTAGAGAAACAGACACGTATAAAAAGCATCATCCAGCCGAGTGCGGCGGCTCACGCCTGTAATGCCAACACTTTGAGAGGCCGAGGAGAGCAGATTGTATGAGCTCAGGAGTTGGACACCAGCCTGGGCAATATGGCAAAACCTCATCTCTACAAAAAATACAAAAATTAGCTGGGTGTGGTGGTGTGCGCCTATAGTCCCTGCTACTCAGGAGGCTGAGGTAGGAGGATCACTTGAGCCCAAGAGGTTGAGGCTGCAGGATCTCGCCACTGCACTCCAGCCTGGGCGACAGAGCAAGACCCTGTCTCAAAAAAAAAAAGAAAGCAAAGAAAGAAAAGAAAAGAAAAAAAAATCATCCTCTGATCACATTCTCCATAGTCTGGTGGTCTGACCTCTGACCACACATTAAGCAGACTGATTCTTGCTTTCACACAGCTTCCACCAAAGTCTTTTCATCATAGTCTTTTTTTGGGACAGCATCTCGCTGTGTAGCTCACGTTGGAGAACAGTGGCAAGATCTCAGCTCATTGCAACCCCGCCTCCCGGGTTCAAGCGATTCTCCTGCCTCAGCCTCCCTTGTAGCTGGGACTACAGGCGCCCGCCACCATGCCCGACTAATTTTTGTATTTTTAGTAGAGAGGGGGTTTCACCATGTTGGCCAGGCTGGTCTTGAACTCCTGACCTCAGGTGACCTGCCCACCTTGGCCTCCCATAGTGCTGGGATTACAGGCGTGAGCCACCGCACCCGGCCTCCATCATAGTCTTAACAGCACATACTCCCATTTTCCCCAGCTATTTCCACCATTGCCTATAACAATGTGCTATGGTTAAGGTGATCGCATAGTTTATCATTAAAACCAGAACACTTTTGAGAGTGCAAGTGGAACCTATTAATAATGACACAGGGGCAATAGGCATAAATTGAGACCCTCTTGGCCATACTGGGATGTCTGGGTCTTGGGTGAGGAGTCCAGCTGCTAGACCCGGGGACTTTGTTATTTTTTATTTTTTTTTGATATGGAGTCTTGCTCTGTCGCCCAGGCTGGAGTGCAGTGACGTGATCTCAGCTCATTGCAACCTCTACCTCCCGGATTCAAGTGATTCCCTGCCTCAGCCTCCCAAGTAGTTGGGATTACAGGCATGCGTCACCATGCCCGGCTCATTTTTGTATTTTTAGTAGAGATGGGGTTTCACCATGTTGGTCAGGCTGGCCTCGAACTTCTGACCTCGTGATCCGCCCGCCTTGGCCTCCCAAAGTGCTGGGATTACAGGCATGAGCCACCGCGCCTGGCCGACCTGGGGACTTCTTGAAGGCAAGAACCATAACTTATTTATCTGGGTGTTCCCAGCATCTTTCCAGAGCCCAATGCATGGTAGGTGTTTAATGCACATTTATTTATTTTTAATTTTATTTTTAGAGACAGGGTCTCATTCTGTTGCCCAGGCTGGAGTGCAGTGGCATGATCACGGCTCACGGAAGCCTCCAACTTATGGGCTCAAGTGACCCTCCCGTCTCAGTTCCCTGAGTAGCTGGGATTACAGGTGCACACGACCATACCCCACTTAATGCACATTTGTTGACTGAGTGAATGATTTCAGTGTAGAAGGTGCCAGGCCCTGAGGGCTCCACAGGATGTGGGGGGGCAGCATTGCTGGCAGCCTGGGGTTTCACCTTTGAGCCCCCCATTATTTATTTATTTATTTATTTTTTGAGACGGAGTTTTGCTCTTGTTGCCCAGGTTGGAGTGCAATGGCTCAATCTTGGCTGACCACAACCTCTGCCTCCCAGGTTCAAGCAATTCTCCTGCCTCAGCCTCCCCAGTAGCTGGGATTACAGGCATGCGCCACCAGGCCTGGCAAATTTTGTATTTTTAGTAGAGATGGGTTTTAGTAGGGTTTTAGTAGAGTTTAGTAGGGTTTTAGTAGAGATGGGTTTAGTAGAGGTGGTTTCTCTATGTCGGTCAGGCTGGTCTCGAACACCCGACCTCAGGTGGTCTGCCGCCTTGGCCTCCCAAAGTGCTGGGATTACAGGCGTGAGCCACTGTGCCTGGCTGAGTCCCCCATTATTTATAACAGTTGGCTTTCCTTTCAGACACTCCTTTTGTGTACTGTATGCTTTGACCTTTGTGTCTAGAACTTCAGATCATTTCCATAATGCCTGACTGAGACCCACCAGCCTGAGCCCACGGAGGATGCCAAGCGGAGGCACCTCTCCCTATCCTCCTCAGGGTCAGTGAGCGTCCGTAAGTGCCTACCGGTCAGCATGGGGATCGGTGACCAGTTTGTCCATGGGCCTAGTGACGAACCAGTCCCAGCAGCTTTAGAATCTGCAGTTTAAGGCCGGGCGCAGTGGCTCACGCCTGTAATACCAGCACTTTGGGGGCCAAGGCAGGTGGATCACCTGAGGTCAGGAGTTCAAGACCAGCCTGGACAACATGGCAAAACCCTGTCTCTACTAAAACTACAAAAATTAACCTGGTGAGGTGGCGGGTGCCTGTAATCCCAGCTACTTGGGAGCTGAGGGAGGAGAATCACTTGAACCCAGGAGGCGGAGGTTGCAGTGAGCCAAGATCATGCCACTGCACTCTAGCCTAGGTGACAGAGCAAGACTCCGCCTCAAAAAACAAAAACAAACAAATAAAATAATCTGCAGTTTATCTTTGGTGGATCCCTTCCCCTTTCCCTCGCAGGGTCCTGTTGCACAGCAGGCGTCCTTAGGGCTACCTCATGGCACTCCTGAGCACTGCAGTTTTCCTATCTTTTGGGTCCCTGCATAAAGATAAGGAGGAGGGTTATCTAGTCTGAGACCCAGCCTGCATAATTAGCCCGCTCAAAGCCTCCCACCTCCCTAATTACTGTTATCATGGATACACCCACTCAGCAGGCCATTCCTACATTCCTATTTCCCCCTCCTTTGCACAGTTCCCTAGGGGGCTGGAGAGGTGATGTGGGAACCCAAATCCCTTCGACTGCGGCACAGAGTCCCCTACTTCCCTGGCCAATCTCTGGGAACCCCTAGAAAGGAAGTTCTCCACCTCCCTCAACCCCAAAACTGCATGGGCAGAACTGCCAGGAAGGAAGGGGTAACCGCCAGCAAGATGCCCTGAGCTTCAGTTTCCCCATGTGTAAAATGAAGGGGTTGCACAGATGATCTTTAAGAGTTATCTGAGGCTGGGCGCAGTGGCTCTCGCCTGTAATCCCAGCACTTGGGGAGACCCAGGTGGGCAGATCACTTGAGGTCAGAGGTTCGAGACCAGCCTGGCCAACATGGTGAAATCCTGGCTCTACTAAAATACAAAAAAAAAAAAAAAAAAAAAATCTGCTGGGCATGGGTGGTGTACACCTACAATCCCAGCTACTCGGGAGGCTGAGGTGGGAGGATCACTGGAGCCCGGAAGGAGGAGGTTGCAGTGAGCCGAGATTGCGCTGCTGCACTCCAGCCTGGGTGACAGTGAGACTCCCTCTCAAAAAAAAACAGCCGGGCGGTGGCTCACGCCTGTAATCCCAGCACTGTGGGAGGCTGAGGCGGGCGGATCATGAAGTCAGGAGATCGAGACTATCCTGGCTAACACGGTGAAACCCCTTCTCTACTAAAAATACAAAAAATTAGCCGGGTGTGGTGGCAGGTGCCTGTAGTCCCAGCTACTTGGGAGGCTGAGGCAGAAGAATGGCGTGAACCCAGGAGGCAGAGCTTGCAGTGAGCCGAGATGGTGCCACTGCACTCCAGCTTGGGTGACAGAGCGAGACTCCATCTCAAACAAACAAACAAAACAGTTATCTGGTTTTGACATTCCATATCTCCACCCTGAACTGTGACTCTGGGATGGGCTTAGTCAAGCATCCCCAGGGGTCTGTCTGTCTGGGGAACTCTAATGCCTGTGCCCTGCCCTCCCCACACTTCTCTTTCTTTTTCTTTTCTTTTTTGGGACAGAGTCTCACTCTCTTGCCCAGGCTGGAGTGCAGTGGCATGACCCCGGCTCACTGCAGCCTCTGCCTCCCAGATTCAAGCGATTGTCCTGCCTCAGCCTCCAGAGTAGCTGGAATTACAGGGTTGTGCCACCATGCCGAGCTAATTTTTGTAGTTTTAGTAGAGATGGGGTTTTACCATGTTGGCCAGGCTAGTCTCAAACTCCTGGCCTCAAGTGATCCGCCTGCCTTGGCCCCCCAGAGTGCTGGGATTACAGGCATGAGCCACTGCGCCCCGCTCCCTTTCTTTTCTCGTTTTCTGAAATTGTACATGAGACTCAAGAGTCTTGGGCAGATGTTTATCCAAGGCTGGGCCTTCGGTTCCCTAATTGCCCCAGGAGATAAAAGGCTAAGAACAAGAAGAGGCCTGGGCCAGGCTGCCTGGGCTTGCTGCAGGTCCTGGTCCCAGCCCATCCTGGGCCCAAACCTGAGTCTAGAGGCTTAAGCAAGAAACTGAGTTCAAAATAAAAAGTAGGAAAAAACTGGCCAGGTGTGTTATTTTCCACGTGGCCACTGCATTTCAGCCTGGGCAATAGAACAAGACTGTGTCAATATATATATATTTTGAGTATACATATACATGTGTGTGTGTGTTGTTAGCTAGGCCTGTACTCTTCAGCTGCTCAGAAGGCTGAGGTGGAAGGATCCCCTTGAGCACCAGAGTTCAAGTCCAGCCTGAGCAACACAGTGAGACCTTGTCTCTAAAAAAAACAAACAGCCGGGAGTGGTGACTCATGTCCCAGCACTTTTGGAAACCAAGGGGGCGGGTCACCTGAAGTCGGGAGTTCAAGACCAGTCTGATCAACATAGTGAAACCCCATCTCTACTAAAAATACAAAATTAGCCGGGCGTGGTGGTGCATGCCTGTAATCCCAGCTACTCAGGAGGCTGAGGCAGGAGAATCCCTTGAACCCGGCAGGCAGAGGTTGCAGTGAGTTGAGATCGTGCCATTGCACTCTAGCCTGGGCAACAAGAGTGAAACTCCATTTCAAAAACAAAACCAACAGAAACAAAAAAAAATTCCACACCTAAGTTTGGGAGGGGGAGGGGATTTATTGATCCATGTAACAGAAAAGGGTAGGAGTCTGTGAGCTTCGGGCATGGCTGGATCCAAGTGACTTGATTATCTGGAATTGTCTCCATATCTCTTTGTTCTGTTTCTCTCTCTTTTTTTTTTTTTTTTGGAACGGAGTCTCGCCCTGTCGCCCAGGCTGGAGTGCAATGGCATGATCTCGGCTCACTGCAACCTCTGCCTCCCAGGTTCAAAGGATTCTCCTGCCTCAGCCTCCCGAGTAGCTGGGATTACAGGTGCCCACCACAATGCCCGGCTTTTTTTTGTGTGCTTTTTGTAAAGATGGGGTTTTACCACGTTGGGTAGGCTGGTCTCGAACTCCGGACTTCGTGATCCGCCCGCCTCGGCCTCCCAAAGTGCTGGGATTACAGACGTGAGCCACCGCGCCCAGCCATTCTGTTTCTCTTGTGGTAGCTTTATACTCAGGCAGCTTTACCCCTTGTAGTGGCAAATGACCTGCCAGATTTCTTGGGTGCCATTTTAGCCACCCAAGAGTTTGTCCTTCTCCATAGTCATGCTTTGTTCACTGCTGAACCAAACGGCACCTAACATGAGGTGCTGAATGAATGTCTCCAGCAAAAGGCCCAAGATTGACTCTTGTTGGCTCAGATGGAGTTGCATGTCTTCTTCCGCCCGATCACTGTGACCTGCCACGCCTGGGCCACATGGGTGGAGTCCGCCCTCCCCACACATGGACTGAGATGGGTGCAGAGCAGTTCCCCAGAAGGAAGAGATGGGTCCTTCCACCTGGGTCCTTCCTTTAGGAGGAAGGAAGAGATGCGTCCTTCCTTCAGGAGGGTTGCAAGCAAAGCCACTTTTTTTGGTTTTGGTTTTGGTCCCCCGTGTCCTTAGAACACAGAGCTGCTGCCTTTTTCTCTGAGTCATCCCCAACATAGACCTGCATTGAAAATGTACCAGCTTGAGTTCTCATGGTGCTGGCTGCGCTGAGCTCCTAAAGCTGCAGTCCCAGGATAACCCTCTTTAGTGGAGGATAAGAATAGGGCTCCTGCCGGGATGCGGGGCTTCTTGCAGCTGGATCAGGTGGGGGGCAGGGCACCAGCATGGCCAAAGATGCCAGAACCCAGGATTCCTTCTGGGAAAGGACAGTGGGCAATTCCAGGCACTGGACCCTTCCAATCTTCTCCTCTCCACTCTAGTCAGGAGCCTGTGATCTAAGATTCTGTTTCTTCATTTGGATTGGGGTGGCATGGAGAGAGGGGCAGGGCTTGGCTGAGGGTGAGGACACCTCAGATGGGTGCCTTATACTTGATCTGAGGAACAGCTTTTTTTTTTTTTTTTTGAGATAGTCTCACTCTGTCACCCAGGCTGGAATACACTGGTGCGATCTCAGCTCACTGGATCCTCTGCCTCCTGGGTTCAAGGGATTCTCCTGCCTCAGCCTCCTGAGTAGCTGGGATTACAGGCACGCGCCACCACGCCTGGCTAATTTTTGTATTTTTAGATAGAGATGGGGTTTCACTATGTTGGCTAGGCTGGCCTTGAACTCCTGACCTCAAGTGACCTGCCCACCTCGGCCTCCCAAAGTGCTGGAATGGCAGGCGTGAGCCACCACGCCCGGCCCATCTGAGGGGTTATCTACTGAGGGGACCCCAGAGTCTCAGCTCCTGGTCTCATCGTACCCCCTGGCTGACCCTGAACCACCTCCTGGCTCATCCACATGCTCTTCCCACACCTGCAAGAACCGAGGTGTGGTGGGGCCGAGTGCCCAATGCAAGAGATTGGACTCACGTGTTTTTCAGAGATTTTATTAAGAATAAGGCATATGACAGTCACCCCTAAAGCACAGGGCTCTATTTCTGTGGGTGAGTGAATACACTCTGAAAAGCATTGGATACAAAAGCGCAGCCAACAGAGAATTTGGAGCAGGGTCCCTCTGCCCTGCCACAGGGCTCCTGCCAGGTGGGTTTGAAGCCCTGCACATCCCCCATTCAAGGCTGGCATGTCCAGGAGAAGGTGCTTGGAGACCCCCGGCTCCCCGCGCTTCGAAGCTGCCCCACACCCTCTAGGCCTCCTTCCTCTCTCCACCAGGGGGGACGCCATCCTACTGCTTATATGGGGAAGGGTTATCCCATTTTGGCCCTGGACTAGTCCCCCAAGCTAGAGGGTGCTGTGGCTGAGCTGTGGGGGCCAGGGGTACAGAGCCTCAAACCGCACTGCCCAGTGCTCCCTGGCTGATTTCCAGAGCAGGGGGAGGTCCCCACCTGCAGCTCTGTGTCCTGGAGCTGTCCATACTTGGGGTGTGGCAGGAGCTCCGCCTAGGGACCTGAGTGTCCTCTTCAACACTCTCTCTCCCAATGGGGATTCGTGCAGCAGAGGAGAGAGAAATGCAGTCCTTTCCCTTCTTAGTCACCAAGATATTCCAGGGGCCAGGAGCGCGTGGGGGTGCGAGGTTTCCCTTTGGCCAGGTGGGCTCTCAAGCCAGACCCAGGGAGGGTGGGGCCTCTCCAGGGCCCTGAGGCTGAGGAGAGTTGGGCCCCTGTGGCCAAGAGCGGGCCATGCACTCCAGCTCCCAGTCTCGTTCTGCTGCACAGAGGGTTCTGTGCAGGCGGGTGGAGGGGTTTCCATTATTTCCAGGAGGGCGAGGAGGGGAATTTCTGTGAAAACTGGAACCCTGTATCTGCTACAGGTGCTCCCCCAGCTTGCCTTATTTCCTTTCCCAGGCACCTCCAGCACCTCAGCTGAGAGTCAGTGAGTCAGCTGCCCCAGCACCCAGAACCTTTCATCTAGGGGATCTCCAAGCACCTCACAAACAATTGTCATTATCTGTGGTTGCTGGAAGAGGGATGGGAGTTGGGTGGAGCTGATGGGGTCACTTCGGGAGAAGCAGGCAGGCCACTGGAAGATCCCTGGGACCAGAGTGCGGTGGGGGCCCCTAGCTGGACACCCTGGATGCCCAGGAGGGAAGGGGGAAGGGGGCTATTGCTATAGAGCTGGGGGGAGGCCAGGCGGACGGAGCTATGGCTTTTAGTGGGTGGGTGGGCAGATAGAGTACTTCACCATCTCTGCAGAAGAATCGACCTAACAAAGTCACCCTGTTCACCCCAAAAGTGTGGTCGTGGGAGATGAGGGTCTGTGCACGCTCCTCTGGAAAGAGACTTTGCCCTTCTTCCCACAGTCCTCTGGGCACCTCCGAGAGAGGAGTGAGGCCCTCACACACAAGACAGGTTCTGAAAGGGAGGGGGACAGAATAGGGGTGCAGTGAGTTACACACACTTGAGGGGGGACAGAGATGGTACAGGCGCAACCACAGGACTAGTAGAGAGTAGAGGTGGGGGCAGGCAGAGCAAGGACCCCAGGCCACCTTCTTGGCCCAAGTTGGACTGGAGAGCACTGTCCCAAGGGTGCCCCAACCTCAGCCATCTGCATCCCAGGAGCTGGACACCCCAGACCAGGCGTGGTTATTGCTCAGTGGTCTTGGGCAGTCCCGAGTGGCGTCAGCTGGGAGAGCCGCACATTGCTTGGCCCTGAGTGCGCTCGCTCACTGGTTTCTACTTCTTGCCAATTTCCTGCTCCAACAAATGGAGAGAAAGGGGGTGTGATCTGGGACTCCCCCTTCTTCATGGGGCTGTGATGGGAGAAGAGCTCGTCACCCCTAGAGCTTGACTCTGCTCACCTCCCAGACCCCTGCGTGACAGAATGTGTGGCCTCAGCCAGGGTCAGGACCTGTCAGGAAAGGGGTGTCTGTGAGGGAGGCAAAGGCCTCTCCCTGCCCCACGTCCTCCCCTCGAAGCCCCTGGAAGACCTCACAGGCACTTAGGACTTGATGCAGGACCCACACAGGAGGGATGGCACGGGCTGGAGGGGTTTGTGTTTCCTTCTAGGCTGGGCTGGGGGTGGGGGAATAAGCTGCGCTGAAACTGTCCTTCCTGCCTTTGGTGGTGGACGGGGAGCTTGGGAGAAGGGGCGTTAGGAGGTGGGGCTTTCCCCTTTCCACGTCGCCATTCCCCAGGCTAGACAGCAGGGAACTGAGCAGCCCGCCACTGCCAGATTCTGATAGGTTTAGGGGCATCCGTGGAGGGGGCCAGGATGGGGACTAACCTGTGCTCCCACCATCCCCCCAGCAAACACAAACCCAAACTCCTATCAGTAGCTGCCACTTCCAAGAAGCCAGGCCCTTCTTCTTTTTTTCGTTTTTGAGACGGAGTTTTGCTCTTGTTGCCCAGGCTGGAGTGCAGTGGCGCGATCTTGGCTCACTGCAACCTCTGCCTCCCAGGTTCAAGCGATTCTCCTGCCTCAGCCTCCGGAGTAGCTGGGATTACAGGCGTGCACCACCACGCCCGGCTAATTTTTGTATTTTTTAGTAGAGACGGGGTTTCACCACGTTGGCCAGGCTGGTCTCGAACTCCTGACCTCAGGTGATCCGCCCACCTCGGCCTCCCAAAGTGCTGGGATTACAGGAGTGAGCCACCGCGCCCAGCCAAGGCTCTCTTCTTCTTGTCTCTGGGTGCAGCCAGCTGATTAGGAAGCCGAGCAACATTAGCACCAATAAACAGGACCAGGAAAACGCCTGGGGCTGCCTCCTGAGAAGGAAGACAGCTCCTGCCTTCCAGAAGCCTGGCCAGCAGCAGGCCTGTCACCTCCCTTCCCCAGCAGAGCTCCCAGTCCCTGCATACCCAGCGGGGTGGCGACTCGGGAAGAGCTGAGCTGGAGACGGCTCTAGACCAAGTCCGGCCAACCAGGCGGTTCTGTAATCCTCTCCCAGGGCCCATGGAAGTTAGGCTTCCATCAGGCGCACTTTTCCCACCAGGGGCTCTGGGAGGACGTGTCTTCTAAAGTGTTCCGTGCTCACCTGCAAGGACCTATCGGCAGGGTCAGGGTGGGGGTAGAAGGACCAGCCCCTAGCCTGGGCCTCTCCTGGGGAGGAAGAAGGCTTGGCGGGAAGGGCGTCGGCGCGGGGGTGGGGGAGGCGGGGGGTGGGGAGCTAGAGGGCCTGGGGCGCCAATGCCACTCTGCGTCCCTTTCCGTAGGCGAGCCCAGCCCTCCCCACCCCACCAAGGATTGTCGGCTTTCCCGGGGAAGGGCGTGGCCCCCGCCCCTCCTGTCTCACAGGCAGGTGGGACCAGGCCAGGATCGGGACGGCGAGTCCTCTCGGTAGAGAAGGTGCCCCCGCTCGGCCCCGCGGAGGAACTCTCGCGCGAGGAGAGGGCTCGAAGCTTTGGAAACGTCGGGAAGTACAAAAGGCTGGCGGTTCGGGGATTTGGGGGGAGCCGGGGCCGCCTCGCCCCGCTTCCTGGAGGAGGGGCGGCTGCCCTCCGACCCGGGACCTGCCTGCGGGGACCGAGCTGCGTCCCTGGCCGGCCCTCCCCGTCCGTCCCGCGTCACCCCGGCCAGCCTGGCGCCTACTCCGGGTCCCCGGGCGCGCTGGGCTGGCTGGGCGCGGGCTGCGGGCCGGCTCGGTCCGGGGGCTCCTGGGGAGGCGGCTGGCGCGGGCTGCGGGCGCTGGGCCGCAGCGGCCTGCGTGCATAGAGGAAGAGCGCGGGGTCGGGCATGGGGTCGGCGTCGTCGAGGGCGCCGGCCCCGCGGTCCCAGGCGGCCCAGTCCCGGCCGGGGCCCTTGGCGGCGGCCTCGTGGGCAGCAGGCGGGCGGCGGGCTCGCAGTGCGCGGCGGCGTGGCCTGGGCTCGGCGGTGGCGCCGGGGCCCGGGCGCGGGGCCTGCAGTCTCTGGCGCGCCGCGTGCAGCTGGCAGGAGAGGTAGGCGGCCGCCTCGGTGTGCTTCTGCAGCTCGGTGCCCAGCACGGTGGCGCGGTGGCTGCGGCGGCGCAGCTCCTCCAGGAAGCGGCGCTCCTCGGTGCGCAGGCTGCAGCGCAGCGCGGACACCAGCGCCTCGCGCTGCGCCACCTCCCGCCGCAGCTCCGCGTTGGCCGCAGCACGCGCCTCCAGCTGCGACTCCAGCGCGCGGCACTTGCTCTCCAGCTCCCGGGACGCCGCCTCTGGAACGGGGCAGAGGCCAGAGGTGACGGTCTCCCCCTGGCTTGGAACAGAACCTGCACGGCTCAGAGCTCCGTGTAACAAAACCCCCAGGCCGGGCGCGGGGCCTCATTTCTGCAATCCCAGCACTTTGGGAGGCCGAGATGGGCAGATGGACTTGAGGTCAGGAGTTCGAGACCAGCCTGGCCAACATGGTGAAACCCAGTCTCTACTAAAAATACAAAAATTAGCCGGGCGTGGTGGTGGTGGTGGTGGGCGCCTGTAATCCCAGCTACTCGGGAGGCTGAGACAGGGGACTCGCTTGAACCGGGGAGGCGGAGGTTGCAGTGAGCCGAGATCACGCCACTGCTCTCCAGCCTAGGTGACACAACGAGATTCCGTCTCAAAAAGCAAAAACAAAAAAACAAAACAAAGCCCCACTCCTCCCCACGTCCCCACCTGCACGTCCTACCGCGCTCCCCCTCCTTCCCCACGCGTCGGCTCAGTGGCCTTCCTTGTTCCGCCCTCGTACCTACTCTACCCTCTGCTTGGTCTCTAATTCTTCAGGTTTCAGCTTAAGTGCAAACCCCTTCCTGGCCCTTTATTCATTCCACAGAGAATTTGTGGAGCCCTGACTTTGTGCATTGTGTTAGGTATTGGAGATAGGGCGCATAATAAAACGGTCTCTGTGAAGCTTATTGCATAGTGGGAGAGACATAGTAAATAATCACAAATACGTGTGAGGTTGCAAATGTGACATGTGGAAAGTCAATGCTGTGACTGTAACTGGAGAATGTGACCTCATCAGGGAAGTCTTCCCAGCAGAAGAGACTTGAGCTAAGATCTGAAGGATAAACAGGAGTTAAGTAGTGAAGACAGGAGAGAAGGATGCTGCAGATGGAGGGAACAGCTTGTGTAAAAGTCCAGAGAGCAAGGGACTGAAAGAGCTGCCAGTGTGCACAGGAAGGGAGTCAGTGTCCTTGTTTCCTCCATAGGGCATTTTATCACGTCTTTTTTTTTTTTTTTTTTTTTTTTTGAGATAGAGTCTTGCTCTGTCGCCAGGCTGGAGTGCAAGTGGTGCAATCTCGGCTCACTGCAACCTTAGCCTTACGGGTTCAAGCAGTTCTCGTGCCTCAGCCTCCCAAGTAGCTGGGATTACAGGTGCACACCACCACACCCAGCTAATTTTTGTATATATATATATATTTTTTTTTTTTTGAGATGGAGTCTTGCTCTCTCGCCCAGGTTGGAGTGCAGTGGCGCAATCTTGGCTCACTGCAAGCTCCACCTCCCGGGTTCAAGCCATTCTCCTGCCTCAGCCTCCTGAGTAGCTGGGACTACAGGCGCCCGCCACCATGCCTGGCTTATTTTTTTTTTTGTATTTTTAGTAGAGACAGGGTTTCACCATGTTAGCCAGGATGGTTTCGATCTCCTGACCTCGTGATCCGCCTGCCTCAGCCTCCCAAAGTGCTGGGATTACAGGCATGAGCCACCGCGCCCGGCTAATTTTTGTATTTTTAGTAGAGACGGGGTTTCACCATGTTGGCCAGAATGGTCTTGAACTCCTGACCTCAGGTCATCCTCCCGCCTCAGCCTCCCAAAGTGCTGGGATTACAGGCGTGAGCCACTGCACCTGGCCTCTTTTGTTGTTGTTGAGGCAGAGTCTCACTCTGTCACCCAGGCTGGAGTGCAGTGGCATGATCTCGGTTCACTGCACCCTCTGCCTCCTGGGTTCAAGCGATTCTCCTGCCTCAGCCTCCGGAGTAGCTGGGATTACAGGCACCCGCTACCACACCCAGCTAATTTATTTTTGTATTTTTACAGATGAGGTTTCACCATATTGGCCTGGCTGGTCTCAAACTCCTGACCTTGTGATCCACCCGCCTCGGACTCCCAGAGTGCTGGGATTACAGGCGTGAGCCACCACGCCCAGCCCTTTTTTTTTTTTTTTTTTGAGACAAAGTCTCCCTCTTGCCAGGCTGGAGTGCAGCGGCATAGCTCACTGCAGCCTCTATCACCTGGGCTTGAGTAATTCTCCCACCTCAGCCTTCCCAGGAGTTGGGACCACAGGCATGCACATTTTTTGTAGAGATGAGGTTTTGCCATGTTGCCTGGGCTGGTCTCGAACTTGTGGGTTCAGGCAATCCTCCTGCCTCAGCCTCATAAAGTGCTGGGATTATAGGTGGGAGTCACCGTGCCTGGCCACATGTTTGTCATTTTTTGTTTACTTGTTTATTGTTGGCCTTTGCCACTGCAGCAGGTTTCAACCCTGGATAGACATTAGAACCACCCAGAGAGCTTTAACCAGTGCTGTTTCCTGGGCGCTATGAAAGACCAATTGCACCAGCATCCCTGGAGCTGGACCTGGGAACTGGTGTTGCTTAAATCTTCCCCGGTGGTTCTCACGTGCAGCGTGAGTTGAGGACCCCTGCCTCCTGGAAGCTCCATCTCGGCAGGACCATATCCTAGGACTTGGCACAGGTGAGTGTAGGGACGTAGGCAGCCGAAAGTGGCAAAGAGTGACCCTGGAAGGATGAAAATCACCAAGTGATAAGAGGACAAAGAGGGCTGGGTGCAGTGGCTCACGCCTGTAATCCCAGCACTTTGGGAGGCCAAGGTGGGCGGATCACAAGGTCAGGAGTTCGAGACCAGCCTGGCCAGCATGGCGAAACCCCGTCTCTACTAAAAATACAAAAATTAGCTGGGTATGGTGGTGTGCGCCTGTGATCCCAGCTACTTGGGAGGCTGAAGTAGGAGAATTGCTTGACCCTGGGAGGCGGAGGTTGCAGTGAGCTGAGATCGCGCCACTGCACTCCAGCCTGGGCGCCAGAGTGAGACTCCGTCTCAAAAAAAAAAAAAACGAAAGAGGACAAAGAAAGTTCTTAAGCCCAGTGGGTTGACACACTCATCCCAGTGACTCAGGGGAGGGCTGAGGTGGGAGGATCTCTTGAGCCCAGGAGTACAAAGCTGCAGTGAGCTATGATTCTGCTACTGCACACTACAGCCTGGACAACAGAGCAAGATCCTGTCTCTAAAAAAAGAAAGAGTTCTCAAAGCCCATTGAAAGAGCCAGGCACAGTGGTCGTGCCTGTAATCCCAGCACTTTGGGAGGCTGAGGGGGGCAAATTGCTTAAGCTCAGGAGTTCAAAACCAGCCTGGGTGACATGGCGAAACCCCTCTCTACAAAAAAGCTGGGCATGGTGGCATGTATCTGTAGTACCAGCTAATCTCGAGGTTGAGGTGGAAGGATCTCTTGAACCCACCTAGGAGGCAGAGGTTGCAGTGAGCAGAGATGGTGCCATGGCACTCCAGCCTGGGTGACAGAGTATGTCTCAAAAAAAAAAAAAAGGCCAGACGCGGTGGCTCATGCCTGTAATCCCAGCACTTTGGGAGGCCGAGGTGGGTGGATCACGAGGTCAGGAGATCTAGACCATCCTGGCTAACACGGTGAAACCCGTCTCTACTAAAAATACAAAAAATGAGCCGGGCGTGGTGGCGGGCGCCTGTAGTCCCAGCTACACGGGAGACTGAGGCAGAATGGCGTGAACCCGGGAGGCAGAGCTTGCAGTGAGCCGAGACCGCACCACTGCACTCCAGCCTGGGCGACAGAGCGAGACTCCGTCTCAAAAAAAAAAAACAAAAAAAACAAAAAGATGAAGACATTGGATTGGGGCAGTGGCTTGGGCCCAGGTGATCTCAAAAGCCCTTTCAGATAAAGGACAGTAAGTGGGGTGAAAGTGGCTGTGTCACAGAACTGTCCTAATCTAGTGTCTGGGGCATGTGCTGCCTTCCTCCAGCCACCTAGGCACCAAGAGGTTGCCTGTGGTTGTCCTCTAAAGAGGGCAGGATTAGTCCAAGTTCGTAAGTGTTTAGATGGTCTGTAACTGATCTTCATGCATGAATACACAAAGCAGTTTCTAGGGTTCCTAACATCATAGCTTAAACTTCCAGCCTGTAGCATTTGATCTATAAGCAATACATCAGTATGGAAGAGAGTCTGTTCTTAAGAACTCTTCTGGCCAAGAAAGACTTTTTATGATTCCTTTTAACATTTTTTTAATATTAAAAAAAAATGGTAGGGACAGAGTCTTACTATTTTGTCCAGGCTGGTCTTGAACTCCTGGGCTCAAGTGATTCTCCTGCCTTGGTTTCCTAAAGTCTTGGGATTACAGGCGTGAGCCACCACACCTGGCCTTGTGATTCATTTTTAATTAAATAGTTACTATGTCCTGGCCAGACTCGGTGGCTCACACCTGTACTTCCAGCACTTTGCAAGGCTGAGGCGGGTGGATCACCTGAGGTCAAGAGTTTGAGACCAGCCTGGCCAACATGGTGAAACCCTGTCTCTACTAAGAAATACAAAAAATTAGCCGGTGGATGGTGGTGTGCGCCTGTTGTCTCAGCTACTTGGGAGGCTGCAGCAGGAGAATCACTTGAACACGGGAGGTGGAGGTTGCAGTGAGCCGAGATCGTGCCACTGCACTCCAGCCTGGGCGACAAGAGCGAGACTCCGTCTCAAAAAAAAAAAAAAAAAAAATTACTGTGTCCCTCCAAGTCAGGTAACGTGCGTTATACTTCAGAGACAATGGGTAACACTCAGTCCTAGTTCTGAGATCTTATAATCTGATGATAAAGATCTCAAGAATGCAATTAAAAAATTAATTGTGGGGGAAAAAATGACAAAATTTAGCATCTTAACCATTTGTAGGAGTACCATTCATTACTGTTAAGTATATTCATGTTGGGGTGCAGCAGATCTTTAGAACTTTTTAATCTTGCAAAAGTAAAAGTCTACACCCATTGAACTCCCCCAGCTCCCCCATGTTATGGGTGAAGTAAACAAATATTTTAGAGGAATTTCTACAATGGCAAGAAGTCATGCTTTTGTAAAATGCAGGATTTACTAATGTGTGTGTGTTTCTTTTCTCGTATAGAACAAGTTCCTTGAAGTCAAGGAACCCATCCTGACATGCATCTTGACACTCGGCCTGTGATCACTCAGTTCAGTGAATCTTGACACTGACCATGTGATCACTTGTGCCAGGATGGGAAGGACTGGGGAGGTGGGTCACAGCAAGGAATTAAGCAGGCTAAGGGGAAGTAAAGCCACATTACCATTTCCTTCATGCCTTACTTTCCTCACTTTGGACAGAGACATGGATACAGGCTACTATGTGTGGTGGTGCAGGTTGTTCACTGCACAAGGTCATCCAACTGAGGTGGTGCAGGTTGTTCACTGCACAAGGTCACCCAACTGAGGTGGTGCAGGTTGTTCACTGCACAAGGCATTTCACAATGTCGTCCACTGGGCAAGTGTGGCTGACATCCTGCACTCTGCTCACCAGCCAAGGAGTGACTATCCCCAAGTCTAGGCTGGGGACAGAGAAGGTTTGGGTCCTGCAAAGGGCTGGGAAAAACTCCAGCTGTTGGGCCCCATGACGCTTCCCCACCAGTGGTCCTTCTCTTACCTTGCTGGTGAGATTGGGCCTCTCTCATTTCCAGGTCATGGGTCAGTTCTGGGGGGAAAGAAAAGAAAAGGCAGTTTGTGTGTGTGTGTGTGTGTGTGTGTGTGTGTGTGTGTGTGTGAGAGAGAGAGAGAGAGAGAGAGATCATGGAATTACAGCTCAGTAAAGTGGCAATAAGGATCTTTAGAAGCCACCTCCACACTATTTTACCGCAACCCTGCAAGGGAAAGAGATGAAGAGATGTGTCCAGGGCACAGCCTGAACCTGGCCAGCTTGACTCCAAGCTCAGAAATCTTCCCAGCTCCAGCTTTGAGCCTGGGTTCGGAGTTTAGTTCACCCCTCGTGGGACTGAGGAGCCTGGCTTGTTTTGGGGCTGGGGGACTATCTGCCTTTCCTGGGGTGATATGCCAGCCAGTCAAAGCAGTTCTGGAGGACCCTTGCCGTGCAGGGCTTTGACCCTTTCGTGTTTAGCTGATGGCCGCTGGAGTGTCCAGAACTGCCTGGCGGCACTGGAGGCAGGCTCGGCAGTGGCTACTTACCAGTCTGGACACTTGCTTTTCACTATTTTGACAGCCAGTACCGCTGAGCCTGTGTTATTACCTGAACATCAGCGCTGCCCCTTCCCAAGCCCCAGTTGCGCCGTATTCCCCACGGCAGGGAGAAGGGCTTCGAGCAGGACGGTGCGGTCTATTGATGGGGGCCGGGCTTGGCACTGAGGGGGTGGAGCGGGCAGCCTAGGAGCCACTCAAGGGCACTGGTGCAGGAGCAGTTTCCTCCTGGGTGCTGCAGCCCAGCTGCCACCCCTCTGCCTGCCTGTCCCCCCAGTCTCCATTCCTTAGTGTCCCCCAAGCCCCATTTCTCAGCCCAGGTGAGTTTGATAATTTTTCCAGCCCCACCCCCACTCCCCCAACTCCACCAGGGCTCAAGAACTGGTACAAGGGCAGAAGGAAGCCAGAAGCCACAGCTGCCTGTGATGCAGACCGACTCGGGGGCACCTGTGTACACCTGCAGGGACACAGTCTGGTGTCCACGGGGAGGAGGTGTGAACCGGGGGTTGGGGAAGGAAGGCGGCACATCTCTGGGACCACCACCCAGCAGCGCCTTCAGGGGCCTTGTGACCCCTCTGCCCCTCCTCCTCACTGCCCTCACCGGCTCTTCCAGAGACCCAGGGCTTTGCCAGAGGTGCCTTCTCTGAGGAGGCCGGTTGTTGCTTGGAGGCAGGCAGCTCAGGGTGCCTGAGCCTTCTGCTGTTACCAGAGTCTGAACCTGTTCCCTGAGGCACCTGTGAGGACTCTGATGCTTCTACCTCCAGGGCTTCCTGGGACCAACTGGCCCCTCCTTCAAGGCCTTGTGATGTAGCCCAGGGACCTTGGCCTAGGTTCAGGGATTTGGGAGCAGGGATACCTTGGCTCCGCCATTAACTCCCTGTGGGTGGTTTCTCTTCAGCCTTTCAACACAGGACTTGGGGGTAGGGAGATAAAAATCTCAGCTGGGCTATAGATGAGCGTGCTGTGAGGTCAGATACGCTGTGTGACCTTGGGCCAGTAACAGCACTTCTCTGAGCCTCAGTTTTCTCGTCTGGAAAATGGGGGCACAATAGCACCTTTCCAAGAGGCTGTCGCCAGGATTAAATGAGAAAAAAACAGCGGGCTTGGC
This sequence comes from Homo sapiens, assembly GCF_000001405.40. Taxonomy (NCBI): domain Eukaryota; kingdom Metazoa; phylum Chordata; class Mammalia; order Primates; family Hominidae; genus Homo; species Homo sapiens. The sequence goes on from NC_000017.11 coordinate 2,732,099, forward strand.
CCAGGGCTGAGTTGGTGCTGAACGCGTGTGAGCAGTTCTTATCAATCAGGCTGCTTCGCCACCCCAGAACGTACCCACCTCTCAAGCCCTTCATTCTGAGTCCTCACCCATCCTTAGCCAGCTCCCTGGGCAGCCTATCCCTTCAGCTCCTACACCAGCCTCTCCTCTCTCCCAACCGCCTCCCAGCTCTGGGTCCCTCTTTAATCTCCTTCCCCTTATCTTCTCCCTTCTCATCACCTCCTCCTTGGGGGAAAGGCCTTATTCAGTCATTTCAGCCCCAAGAGTGGCTGCTCTAGCCTAGCCTAGTTATTTTCATCTCCTTAATAACCTAGAGGTGGCTGGGCGTGGTAGCTCATGCCTGTAAAGCCAGCACTTTGGGAGGCCACGGTGGGCAGATCATCTGAGGTCAGGAGTTTGAGACCAGCCTGGCCAACGTGGTGAAACCCCATCTCTACTAAAAATACAAAAATTAGCCAGGCATGGTGGCGGGCACCTGTAATCCCAGCTACTTCGGAGGCTGAGGCAGGAGAATTGCTTGAACCCGGGAGGCAGAGGTTTCAGTGAGCTGAGATCGTGCCACTGTACTCCAGCCAGGGCAACAGAGCAAGACTCTGTTGTAAAAATTAAAAAAAAGGCCAGGCACGGTGGCTCACGCCTGTAATCTCAGCACTTTGGGAGGCCGAGGTGGGCGGATCACGAGGTCAGGAGATCGAGACCATCCTGGCTAACACGGTGAAACCCCGTCTCTACTAAAAATACAAAAAATTAGCCGGGCGTGTTGGCAGGCGCCTGTAGTCCCAGCTACTCGGGAGGCTGAGGCAGGAGAATGGTGTGAACCTGGGAGGCGGAGCTTGCAGTGAGCCGAGATCACGCCACTGCACTCCAGCCTGGGCGACAGAGCAAGACCCTGTCTCAAAATAAATAAATAAATAAAAATAAATAAATAAATAAATAAATAAATAACTAGTAAAAAAAAAAACCAAGGGGTTTCAGGCCCATACCCATCTGAGAAGCATGGCGTGGGTGAGGGCGCTCTGTTCCTGCCTGCTCCACATTTTGGGATCTGGCCCGTGTCCTAAAAAGAGCCACAAGTTCTCAGAATTAGGGCAAAACAGAAAGAAATGACAGGAGCTGCTATGGTGTCTTAGGGTTTCCTCTTCTCTTTTTTTTTTTTTTTTGAGACGGAGTTTCACTCTTGTTGCCCAGGCTGGAGTGCAATGGCATGATCTCGGCTCACCGCAACCTCCGCCTCCCAGGTTCAAGCGATTCTCCTGCCTCAGCCTCCCTAATAGCTGGGATTACAGGCATGTGCCACCACGTCCGGCTAATTTTGTATTTTTAGTAGAGACGGGGTTTCTCCATGTTGGTCAGGCTGGTCTCGAACTCCCGACCTCAGGTGATCCGCCCGCCTCAGCCTCCCAAAGTGCTGGGATTACAGGCGTGAGCCACCGTGCCCAGCTCCTCTTCTCATAATTTTGTTATTGCAATGAAAAGGTGGCATCAGGCAGGGCTGAGATACTTGGGCCATTCTTGTCCCCCAGGCTGGCCTCTGCTCCCGTCCAATCTTCAGGGGAGATTAGAATGTGGCGGCTGACCCTGTCTGTGGAGCCTTAGGAAGCTGTGATGGCTGAATCAGGACCACTGGCTTTTTTTTTTTTTTTTTTTTTTTTTTTTTTGAGACAGAGTTTCACTCTTGTTGCCCAGGATGGAGTACAATGGCAACCATCTTGGCTCACCACAACCTCTGCCTCCCAGGTTCAAGCGATTCTCCTGCCTCAGCCTTCCGAGTAGCTGGGATTACAGGCGTGCACCACCACGCCTGGCTAATTTTTTGTATTTTTAGTAGAGACGGGGTTTCGCCACGTTGGCCAGGCTGGTCTTGAACTCCTGACCTCAGGTGATCCACCCACCTCGGCCTCCCAAAGTGCTGGGATTACAGGTGTGAGCCACCGTGCCTGGCCTCCAGCTGGATTTCTTATCTGTCTCCTTTAAGTGATGCTTTATCCATCAACTAGAACCTTCCATGAGCTTTTGGCTTCCCACCTTTCGACCTTTGCCGTGCTGTTCCCTTCATCTGGAATACTCTCTTCACTCCCCTTTCTCCTGTGATATCTTGGCATGTCCACATGTTACGCAGCCTCCAGGGAGTTGAAGCACCCCCTCCTCTGGGGAGCCTCGGAGGCTGGGCCTCCTCCTTCAGCACCTGCTCCTCAAGCTGGACATGCTCCTGCCCATGAGGTCCTGCTTGATTTCTGCTCTACCTTAATACCACCAGTTGGCCTGTGTGTCTCCCTAGCTAGACCGAGGGCTGGGAGTTGCTTGGTGAAGAGTGACTCGGAAAGGATGGGAACCTCCAGGATTTGGATCCTAGGAGTCCTCCACTCCCTAACCAGAGCTTTTTTTTTTTTTGAGACAGAGTCTTGCTCTGTCATCTAGGCTGGAGTGCAGTGGCGTGATCTCAGCTCACTGCAACCTCCACCTCCTGGGTTCAAGCGATTCCTCTGCCTCAGCCTCCCAAGTAGCTGGGACTACAAGCGCCCACCACCGTAACCAGCTAATTTTTTGTATTTTAGTAGAGATGGGGTTTCACCATGTTGTCCAGGATGGTCTTGATCTCCTGACCTCGTGATCCGCCCGCCTCGGCCTCCCAAAGTGCTGGGATTACAGGTGTGAGCCACCGCGCCCAGCCCTAACCAGAGCTCTTTGCTGTGAAACTTTCAGATGTTTCTAGAACTTTTCCAACTTCTCTGTCCATCTCACCTCCCCAAGTCCCAGTTTCCTTAATCAGAAAAAGAGGCAGCAGAATCGGTGCAGTGTGAGGCTCACGGGGGCTGTTGGTGGGCACAACCCAGAGACAGTGGTTGTGATGATGACAGTGACCTCTCCCCACCCGTCCAGCCGCCTCTCCTGGCCTCACCTGAGCAGCGTTTCTGCAGCCTCAGGATCTCCAGGTGCAGGTCTCGCAGCAGGGCCATCTGCTCCTTTTTCAGGAAGCTGATGTGGCGTTGCACGCTCTGGATCTGATGCTCCAGGGACACGGTATCCATGGCAACCCAGGCCTGGGCCCCACCTAGGGAGGACGACAAGGTGAACCCACCTCTTCTGAGCCCATCTGCGCTGCCCCACCCTCAGCTCTTTCACTGTCTCCTCCGCTCTAGGTCCTGTTGCCACCAGGAAGATGATTCTGCCACTGCTGTCACCTCCACACTATTCCTTCATTCAGGCTTCATGAAGAAGCAGGGGAGTTGGCAGGAAAGCATCATTACTCTCATTTAACACATGGAGAACCAGAGGCCCAGAGGGCAATGGCTTCCTTCTCCTGTTCCCATGTAACTTTTTTTCTTTTTTTTGAGATGGAGTCTTGCTCTGTTGCACAGACTGGAGTGCAGTGGCACGATCTTGGCTCACTGCAACCTCCACCTCCTGGGTTCAAGCAATTCTCCTTCCTCAGCCTCCTGAGTAGCTGGGATTACAGGCAGCTGCCACCATGCCCGGCTAATTTTTGTATTTTTAGTAGAGACAGGGTTTCACCATGTTGGCCAGGCTGGTCTTGAACTCCTAACCTCAGGAGATCCATCCGCCTTGGCCTCCCAGAGTGCCAGGATGACAGGTGTGAACCACTGTGCCCAGGCCCATATAACTTTAGCCTCTTCTACTTCTCAAACAGGAAAACAAATGGAGTGGCAAAGTCAGTAGAGAGACAGAGAACCTGGGTTCTAGCCTGCTCCTCCCGCCCTAGCAGTGTGACCTGGGTGAGCCCTTTCCCTCTGTGGGCTCTCAAGTTTCTCAGGGGTAAAATGAGGGAGATGTGGAGTGAGTGAGCCCTAGAGTCTCTTCCAGTTCTGACACCCTGCAAGTATCTCAGCCCAAGGGCTACATGGCTGTTCTGAATATTATTCTCCCTTAGTTCAACTCCACTTCAACTTCACCACAGTCCAGGGCTCCAGGCTCCTCCAAGTGGCAGAGGAGGAAGATCTGGTGAATGTTTCACTAACACTGACTCTGGGCTGAAGGCAGGTGGTGGAGTCCCTTTGTAAAAGAGAAAGGCGGGCCGGGCGCGGTGGCTCACACAGTAATCCCAGCACTTTGGGAGCTTGAGGTGGGAGGATCACAAGGTCAGGAGTTCAAGACCAGCCTTTCCAACATGGTGAAACCCCGTCTCTACTCAAAATACAAAAATTAGCCAGGCTTGGTGGCACGTGCTTGTAATCCCAGCTACTCAGAAGGCTGAGGCAGGAGAATGGCTTGAACCCGGGAGGCGGAGGTTGCAGTGAACTGAGACCATGCCACTGCACCCCAGCCTGGGCGACAGGGTGAGACTCTGTCTCTAAATAAATAAATTAAATTAAATTAAATTAAAGAAATAGGCCAGCCGTGGTGGCTCACTCCTGTAATCCCAGCACTCTGAGAGGCTGACGTGGGAAGACTGCGTGAGTCCAGGAGTTTGAGACCAGCCTGGGTAACAAAGTGAGATCTCGTCTCTAAAAATATATATCCATAGGCCGGACTCGGTGGTTCACGCCTGTAATCCCAGCACTTTTGGAGGCCAAGGTCGGCGGATCACTTGAGGTCAGTTCGAGACCAGCCTGGCCGACGTGGTGAAACCCCATCTCTACTAAAAATACAAAAAATTAGCTGGGCGTGGTGGGGCAGGTGCCTGTAATCTCAGCTACTCGGGAGGCTGAGGCACAAGGATTGCTTGAACCCGGGAGGTGGAAGCTCCAATGAGCCAACATTGCACCACTGTACTGCAGCCTGGGCAACAGAGTGAGACTCTGTCTCAAAAAATAAATAAATAAATAAATAAATAAATAAAATACATACATACATATAAATAAATACAATAAAAAAGAGAAATAGGAGAGGGGAAGAGAGACTCATGCAGTGACTCCCATGGCAGAACTTTGAGTTGCAGTGATGGATGAGAGCCATGCATCCCTGAATCCTAATGATGGCCTGGCTTTCCAGCTCTGCTGCTTCTGGCTCCGCCCCCTTCCCCATGACTCTGTTCTGTGATAATCAGCATCTTGGACAAGCAGAGGCAGACCGCGAACACTGGAGCCCAGGACTTAGAGCTCCTGCTTTCTCAGCCAAGGACTCCCTAAGCTTTGGAGGAACCTGCCTTCACCTGCCCCTGGAATGTCCTGGGCAGTGGGAGAGACAGGCCAGTAAGATGAGTAATTCTGTTCACCAAATGGTCCCTTCCAGACTAGCTTACATGTAAGACTCAGAAAAATCCAGATTTTCATTTGTGGGGTTACATCGAGCAGGTCCCCCTGAGAACTCCAATCCTCAGGGCACTCCTCTCTCTGGGCCCCTTTCTCTGGTACTCCCCTGACCCCCCTAATCCAACCAAATAGGCCTTTCTTTTTTTTTTTTTTTTTTTTTTTTTTTGAGACGGAGTCTTGCTCTGTCACCCAGGCTGGAGTGCAGTGGCACGATCTCGGCTCACTGCAAGCTCCGCCTCCCAAGTTCACGCCATTCTGCCTCAGCCTCCCGAGTAGCTGGGACTACAGGCGCCCACCACCACGCCCGGCTAATTTTATTTTTGTATTTTTAGTAGAGATGGGGGTTTCACCATGTTAGCCAGGATGGTCTCGATCTCCTGACCACGTGATCCACCCGCCTCGGCCTCCCAAAGTGCTGGTATTACGGGCGTGAGCCACCGCGTCCAGCCATCCAAATAGGCCTTTAATTTCAGCAAGGGGTGGCCCTTTGGCCTGTGGGGATCGCTGGCTACATGTGCTGACCATCTGCTATGTTCAGGGAACATTATACACATGATCTTACTTCTGCCAACCACTCTTCAGCGGGTATTACCACCCCACCCCACTTCACAAAAAAGGGCTCTCGTACCGCTTCACACGCTCAGTAAGGGGTGGCAGAGCCAATTCTCCAACCAAGTCTTACGAATCCAGAGAAGGTTCCCAATATTTACACGAATATTTACACTGGGAACAGTCCTAGGTTTGAATCTGTCACCCAGGCTGGAGTGCAGTGGGGCAATGGTAGCTCACTGCAGCCTCAAACTCCTGGGCTCAAGCAATCCTTCCACCTCAGCCTCCCAAGTAGCTAAGGTCTACAAGTGACTGCCACCATGCCTGGCTAATTTTTAAAATTTTTTGTAGAGACAGGGTTCTCTACACCCAGGCTGGTGTCCACCTCCTGGCCTCAAGCAATCCTCCCACCTTGGTCTCCCAAAGTGCTGGGATTACAGGCATGAGCTGCTGGATCCAGCTGATTTATGGCTCTTTCAGTTACCTGCTGTGAGACTTTTGGCAAGAAAATTAACCTCTCTGAGCCATTTTCCTTCCCCCTGTAAGATGGGGCTGCAAATCCTACCATCCTAGGATAGTTGTAAGGATTAAATGAGATAAGAAATGTAAGGCCTGGGCTGGGCGCAGTGGCTCACGCTTGTAATCCCAGCACTTTGGGAGGCCGAGGCGGGCGGATCACGAGGTCGGGAGATCGAGACCACGGTGAAACCCCGTCTCTACTAAAAATATAAAAAATTAGCCGGGTGTGGTGGCGGGCGCCTGTAGTCCCAGCTACTCGGAGAGGCCGAGGCAGGAGAATGGCTGAACCCGGGAGGCGGAGCTTGCAGTGAGCTGAGATCGCGCCACTGCACTCCAGCCTGGGTGACAGAGCAAGACTCGTCTCAAAAAAAAAAAAAAGAAAAAAGAAATGTAAGGCCTGGCACAGTGGCTCACGCCTGTAATCCCAGCACTTTGGGAGGCTGAGGCGGGTGGATCACCTGAGGTCAGGAGTTTGAGACCAGGCTGACCAATATGGTGAAACCCTGTCTGTACTAAAAATACAAAAATCAGCCGGGCATGGTGGCATGCACCTGAAGTCCCAGCTACTCGGGAGGTTGACCCAGGAGAATCGCTTGAACCCAGGGGGCAGAAGTTGCAGTGAGCTGAGATCGAGCCACTGCACTCCAGCCTGGGCAATAGAGCAAGACTCTGTCTCAAAAATAAATAAATAGGGCGGGCGCAATGGCTCACGCCTGTAATCCCAGCACTTTGGGAGGCCAAGGTGGGCGGATCACGAGGTCAGGAGATCGAGACCATCCTGGCTAACATGGTAGAACCCCATCTCTACTAAAAATACAAAAAATTAGCTGGGTGTGGTGGCGGGCGCCTGTAGTCCCAGCTACTCGGGAGGCTGAGGCAGGAGAATTGTTTGAACCAGGGAGTCAGAGGTTGCAGTGAGCTGAGATCGCGCCATTGCACTCCAGCCTGGCGACAGAGCGAGACTCCATCTCAAAATAAATAAATAAAATAAAAATAAACAAACAGGCTGGGCGCGGTGGCTCATGCCTGTAATCCCAGCACTTTGGGAGGCAGAGGCAGGCAGATCAGGAGGTCAGGAGATCAAGACCATCCTGGCTAACACAGTGAAACCCTGTCTCTACTAAAAATACAAAAAAAATTAGCTGGGCGTGGTGGCGGGTGCCTGTAGTCCCAGCTACTGAGGAGGCTGAGGCAGGAGAACGGCGTGAACCCGGGAGGTGGAGCTTGCAGTGAGCCAAGATTGCGCCACTGCACTCCAGCCTGGGCTACAGAGCAAGACTCGTCTCAAAAAAATAGATAGATAGATAGATAGGTGATAGATAGATAGATAGAATAAAGAAATGTAAAGTGCTTAGCACAGGACGTAGCTCAGTCAATGCTACCTCCCTTCTTCCTCTTCTTCTCTGTCCATTTAATGTCTGAGTAGGTTAATTCCTGTCTTGATTTGCTCACTTTCTCATTCACTCATTTAGTGATCTACTATTGCCAAGCACTGTCCTGGGTTTGGGGAACACGGTAACGAACACAGTGAAGTCCCTGCTCTCATGGATCTCACGGGGTGAAGAGAAGAGAATCAAACACATAATGTGTCAAACAGATAATACAAATAAGGATAGAATTACAATCTGTGATAAGGGCCACTAAAGAGACCTACAAGGTAATGTGAAAGAATAAAGAGGGGAACCTGCTTTAGATTTGAGGTGAGGAAAGTTCTCTTTGGGGAAGTAACTTTTAGGCTGTAACTTTCTGCCTTGTGACAGGCAGAGTTCCAGGACGGTCCCCAAGATTCCCAGCCTCTGGTATGCAGCTGCTCTGCTCGAGTGTGGGTGGGCCTGCGCGTATGATGGATTTCACCCCTGTGATTAGGCTATACACAAAGGTAAAGGGATCCTGCAGATGTAATTAAGGCCTCCAATCAGTTGACTTTGATTTAATCAAATGGAGATTATTCTGGGTGGGCCTGACCTAATTAGGCAAAACCCTGAGGCTGGGCACGGTGGTTTATGCCTGTAATCTCAGCACTTTGGGAGGCTGAGGCAGGCTGATCACTTGAGGTCAAGAGATCGAGACCAGCCTGGCCAACATGGGTGAAATACTGTCTCTACTAAAAATACAAAAATTAGCTGGGCATGGTGACAGGCGCCTGTAATCCCAGCTACTCAGGAGGCTGAAGCAGGAGAATCACTTGAACCCAGGAGGCGGAGGTTGCAGTGAGCCGACATCGTGCTACTGCACTCAAGCCTGGGCGACTGAGTGAGACTCCATCTCAAAAAACAAACAAAACAAAAAACAAAAAAATAAGAGCCCCGAGCAGAGGACCTAGTTTAAAAATGGTAGACTAAGGCCAGACGCAGTGGCTCACACCTGTAATCTCACCACTTTGGGCAACATGATGAAACCTCGTCTCTACAAAAATACAAAAATTAGCCAGGCATGGTGGCATGGGCCTGTAGTCCCAGCTACTGGGAGGCTGAGGTGGGAAGATGGCTTGGGCCCAGGAGGTCAAGTCTGCGGTGAGCCATGATTGTGCCATTGCACTTCAGTCCTGGTGACAGACAAAGACCCTGTCTCAAAAAAAAAAAAAAAAAAAAAAAAAAAGAGCCAGACTCCTGGGCTTAGACATTGTAAGATAATAAATGTATGTTGTTTTAAGCCACTATGTTTATGATAATTTGTTACACAGCGATAAAAAACTAATACAGACTTGAAGGAGGGGTAGGACTTAGAAGAATGAAGGGAAGAGCACCTCCAACAGGGAACAGCATCTGTGAAGGCACAGAGGTAGGAAAGAAGTAAGTGATCACAATGATAGCTTACATTTACAGAACGCTTACTATGTCTCAAACTTTCTGCTAAGTGCTTCACGTGGTCTGTCTGAGAAACAGACATTGCCGCTGCTAGTAAGGGCTGAGGTGAAAGGTACTGAAGGAGGGTCGCAGGAAGGAAGGTTAGCAAGAGTAGGTTCACATGGCGTCTTGAAAACCATGTTAAGAACTTTTGGGCTGGGTGCGGGGTCTCACGCCTGTAATCCCAGCACTTTGGAAGGCCAAGGCGGGCAGATCACCTGAGGTCAGGAGATCGAGACCAGCCTGGCCAACATGGCAAAATCCTGTGTCTCTACTAAAAATACAAAAACTACCCAGGCGTTGAGGTGTCCACCTGTAGTCCTAGCTACTTGGGAGGCCGAGGCAGGAGAATCTCTTTTTTTTTTTTTTTGAGATGGAGTCTCGCTCTGTCGCCCAGGCTGGAGTGCAGTGGTGTGATCTCGGCTCACTGCAAGCTCTGCCTCCCGGGTTCGCCTCATTCTCCTGCCTCAGCCTCCCGAGTAGCTGGGACTACAGGGGCCCACGACCGCGCCTGGCTAATTTTTTGTATTTTTAGTAGAGATGGAGTTTCACCGTGTTAGCCAGGATGGTCTCAATCTCTTGACCTCGTGATCCGCCTGCCTCAGCCTCCCAAAGTACTGGGATCACAGGCGTGAGCCACCGCGCCCGGCCAGGAGAATCTCTTGAAACCAGGACGCGGAGGTTGCAGTGAGCCGAGATCACGCCACTGCACTCCAGCTTGGGCGACAGAGCAAGACTCCATCTCAAAAAAAAAAAAAAAGAACATTTAATATTAAGTAAATTTGGAAGTTCTTAAAGGATTTTAAGCAGTGGAAGAACATGATATGATTTGCATTTTTTATTTTTTTTGAGACGGGATCTCACTCTGTCACCCAGGCTGGAATGCAGTGGTGTAATGATGGCTCATTGCAGCCTCCAACTCCCAGGTTCATGCTGAGACTCTACCTCAGCCTCCCAAGGAGCTGGGACCACAGGCTCGTGCCCCCGTGCCCGGCTAATTTTTCACTTTTGTAGAGATGGGGTCTCACTATGTTGCCCAGGCTATCCTTTGCATTTTTAAAGTATCACTCTGGCGGCTGTGGGGAGAGCAATCTAGAGCCAACAGAGTGGATGTGGGGAGGTCAGCTGGAAGAATAAAGCAGTGGTCAAGGTGCCAGGTGATGGTGGCCTGGATGAGATGATGGAGGTGAAGGCGGAGAGTGGTCCTAGGTGTATTTTAGTGGTAGGACTGGCAGGACTTGGAGATGGATTGGATTAATTCATGATGATAGGGAGGGGGATGGCTAAGATATCTCCAGTTTTCCAGCTTAAGCAACCCAAGAATGAAGGCATATTTGCTAGATCTTTCCCCATTTCATCCTCTTTCACCATGAATCTCTTCTTTATCTATAATCACTCCCTGGGTGTTCTTGTCCCATCCCATGGCTGTAAATACTATTTATATGCTATTGACCGCCAAAATAACTCTTCCCTGGCTGCTAGACTGATGACCTAACACCTCCATTTGGATATTCAGTGAGGATATCCCTCAAACTTTCAAGTCCCAATACTGAACTTGCATTCCCTTCTGCAAACCAGGTCTTGACCACTGTTCGCCATCTTGATAAACCACATTGCTGTTTGCCCACTCATTCTGTTGCTCAGGCCAAAACTTGGGAGTCATGTTTGATTCCTCTCTTTCTTTATATTCCATAGTCAATCCATCTGCAAATCCTGTTTGCTCTACCTTCAAAAAACATATCCCAAAGCCAGTCACTTCTCACTATCTCCATCGTCATCACCCAAGTCCAAGCCAAAAACATCCTTCTGGTGTACCATTGCAGTAGGCTCCTGACTGTCATCTCACTTCCATTCTTGCCCCTTGTTTTCCATGCAGGAGCCAGAATTCCTTTAACAAATATAAGTCGGGTCAGGCACGGTGGCTCACGCCTGTCATCCCAGCACTTTGGGAGGCCGAGGCGGGAGGATCACCCAAGGTCAGGAGTTCGAGACCAGCCTGGCCAACATGGTGAAACCCTGTCTCTAAGAAAAATACAAAAAATTAGCCGGGCATAGTGGCACATGCCTGTAGTCCCAGCTACTTGGGAGGCTGAGGCAGGAGAATCTCTTGAACCCGGGAGGCAGAGGTTGCAGTGAGCCGAGATCTCACTGCTGCACTCCAGCCTGGGTGACAGAGCGAGACTCCGTCTCAAAACAATAACAAAAACAAATATAAGTCTGATCATGTCTCCCCAAACCCCACTCAAAATCCTCTGTGTGGCTTTCCATCACATTTAAAACAAACCCAAAGTTCTTATGAGCCCTTGCACAGTCTTCCCTGGCTCCCTCTGTCCTCATCCTGCTGGTTCCACCCCAGCCACTCCGACCTTGCTTCTTCCTGAATGTGCCCAGCACACTCTTGCCTCGGGGACTTTGTACATGCTGTCCCCTCTGCCAGGAATGCCCTTCACCAAGATCTCCTCAAGGCCTATTCCCCTCCTTCATTCAGGACTCTCCAAATGTCAGCTCCTCAGGGACTTGCTCTCATCACCCAATTTAAAATAGAAGCTTTTGTTACTCTGCATTCCCTTAATCTGCATTATTTTTTCTTCCGTGAATGTATTACCACATGAATATATTAACTTTTTATTTTTATGTATTTTTTTTTATTTTTTTGAGATGGAGTCTGGCTCTGTTGCCCAGGTTGGAGTGCAATGGCGCGATCTCAGCTCACCGCAACCTCCACCTCCCGGGTTCGAGCAAATCTCCTGCCGCAGCCTCCCGAGTAGCTGGGATTGCAGGTGTGCACCACCATGCCCAGCTAATTTTTGTATTTTTAGCAGAGATGGGGTTTCACCATGTTGGCCAGGCTGGTCTCAAACTCCCGACCTCGTGATCCAACCACCTCAGCCTCCCAAAGTGCTGGGATTACAGGTGTGAGCCACGGCGCTGCACCCGGCCTAAATTTTTTTTTTTCATTTTTTATTTTGTAGAGACAAGAGTTTCACTGTGTTGCCCAGGCTGACCTCGAACTTCTAGTCTCCAGCAATCTTCTAGCTTTGGCATCTCAAAAGTGCTGGGATTACAGGCGTGAGCCACTGCGCTGCACCCGGCCTAAATTTTTTTTATTTTTATTTTTATTTTTGTTTTTGTAGAGACCAGAGTCTCACTAGGTTGCCCAGGCTGACCTCGAACTCCTGGTCTCAAGCAGTCTTCCGGCTTTGGCATCTCAAAAGTGCTGGGATTACAGGCATGACCTCCTGCTTCCAGCCCCCGGTTTTTGTTTATTGTCTGTTTCTCCTGCCAGATTGTTAGCAACTGAGATGAAGGACATTGCTTTGGTTCCTCCTTTTCCTTAGTACCTAGCACAGTATGTGGCAAACAGGAAGTACTCAGTAAACATCTTTAGAGTGGGTGAAGTTGTGGGGATGGGGTAGACTGATGGAGAAGCAGATTGACACAAGGTAAGATCAAGATGCCATGTGTTAGGGGTGATATACCCAAGAGACCTCAAACAAGGAGAAATAGATGTCAAGTAGGCAGGTCAATATACTGGTGCAACCAGGCTCAGTGGCTCATGCCTATAATCCCAGAACTTTGGGAGACAGAGGTGAACAGATCGTGTGTGCCCAGGAGTTTGAGACCAGCCTGGAAAACATGGTGAAACCCTGAAACCCCGTCTCTACTAAAGATACAAAAATTAGCTGGGCGTGGTGGCGTGTGCCTGTGGTCCCAGCGTGGAGGCTGAGGTGGGAGGATTACTTGAGCCCGGGAGTTTGAGGCTTCAGTGAGCCATGATTGCACCACTGCATTCCAGCTTGGGTGACAGACAGTGAGACCCTGTCTCAAAAAAAAAAAAAAAAAAAAAAAAGATAAAATAAAAACATAATAATACACTGGTGCATAACTCAAGAGAAACAGGTGAGCTGCTGACTGTGAGTCTATGTCAGGGTTTGTGTGCTTGCGTATCTGTATGTGTGCCTGAGCCTGCGTGTGTGCCTCAAGGAGTACGTGTGTGTGTTTCCCGATTCTCTTTGCTGCTGTGTGTCTGCTGTGCGCACATCTGGAGGATGAAGGTGTGTGGGCCTGTTCTTAGGATAAAGAGAGAAACGTCTGTTCCCAGCCACTGAAATGCAAATGTTTCTGAAGAGTAAAAACCCTTCCCACACAGCTCTGGAGACTGGACCCTGGCCACCGTGAGAGACTGAGCCAACCAGCTGTTTCTGTGCTTTCCCAGAACGACTTGAGTATTTGCTTCCAACTAGGCAGGCTGCTTTTCTCAGGGAGGAAATTTGGGTCACAAACGATCTTGGCAAATATTCTTTCTTAGACGTTATTGTTTAGTTTGTTTGGGGGAGGGTGGGAGATAGAGTGGGGAAGGGAACTAGTGACAACAAAAATCTCTCTGTCTGGCTGGGGAGTTGCAGGCACTACTTCAGAAGGCCTAAGCCAGGAAAACGTCCGATTTTCCCATCAGAAATGCAGTCCTGGAACATCTGGCCTTCAGAAGCTCATGCCCGAGGACTTGACCCAGGCCAGTAACAGTAGCTGAAGGGCTGGAGCTGTCAGCTCCATCTTTCCCCCCGACACAGCACTAGATGTCCAGCCTCCTGAGTGAACACACTCGGGGAAGAGGTCACACTCCTCTGTCCACTGTCCTGAGCACCTCAGAGCCTGCATTGTTTCTGCTTCCCTCCTTCTTCTGGTTCTCTGAGTTCTTTTTCCTGTTAATTTTCTCTTCCCCTTGTCCTTCTCCTTCTCCTTCTTTTTTTTCCCCCCGAGATGGAGTTTTGCTCTTGTTGCCCAGGCTGGAGTGCAATGGCACAATCTCGGCTCACTGCAACCTTCGCCTCCCCGATTCAAGCGATTCTCCTGCCTCAGCCTCCCAAGTAGCTGGGATTATAGGTGCCCACCACCACGCCTGGCTAATTTTTGTATTTTTAGTAGAGACGTGGTTTTGCCATGTTGGCCAGGCTGGTCTCGAACTCCTGACCTCAAGTGATCCATTTGCCTCGGACTCCCAAAGTGCTGGGATTACAGGTGTGAGCCACCGCGCCCAGCCTTTCCTGTTAATTTTCTAGCTTGATGAAAAAATATTCATTTAAAAAAATTGTTACCAAAAATATTAAAAAGACCCTAACACAAGGTTCACAATTTATAGGATTAATTCCAAGTACTTTTAACATGTCTCTGATGTGTCTGAAAGTTACAAATACTTTTCCCTTTGGGGAAGTTGGTGGAGAAGGCTTCTGTGCTCAGGTCCCCAAACACGGGTAGAGTGTCAGACTCAGGAACCTTCTGACCCTGGCACAGTTGGGACTCTCTGAGGTCCGGGCTCCTGATCCCTGAAAATGACCTCTCTTCCTGCTTGTTTCTGGAGATTCTGGGTACCCACTTCCCTACCCAGTTACAACTGACTTGGCAAGTGGGAAACTACAGTTCTCTCCCTGCTTCAGCTGTTTGTTTTTTTGAGACGGAGTCTCCTCTGTCGCCCAGGCTGGAGTGCAGTGGCTCGATCTTGGCTCACTGCAACCTCCGCCTCCTGGGTTCAAGCAATTCTTCTGCCTCAGCCTCCCGAGTAGCTGGAATTACAGGCACCCACCCAACACACCCAGCTATTTTTTGTATTTTTAGTAGAGACGGGGTTTCACCATGTTGGACAGGCTGGTCTTGAACTCCTGACCTCAGGTGATCCATCCGCCTCAGCCTCCCAAAGGGCTGGGACTACAGATGTGAGCCACAGCGCCTGGCCTGCTAACCAGCAGTTTGAAAACCTCTTTTACAGTCCAATATTTCCTTGGGTATCTAAATCTCACCTTCCCCACACCCTTTTTGTCTGCTCCAGGTCCCCTGGCCTCTGCCACCTCTTTCTTTCCCTCAAGCAGAGGAGGTCGCTGGAAGAGGAACCAGACCCCACACTTCTTGTGACCTGCTTGCCTGGGGTTTGCATTGTCTGCCACCCCTCACTCACTGGCGGGTTCTCTTGTCCCAGTTTCAGCTTTTCCTAGTGTTTCTTTTCTGTTTGGGACTGAAAATATTTATCAAGTCAACAGATATCTTTGTGTTGTTCTTAACAGTCAATAGCCATGTTTTCTTAAAGTTCTTTAAGTATGTATGTTTTCTTGTTTTAAGGAGAATGTTAGACTTATTTTTATTATTCTTATAGTCAGCGCGGGTATATTAGATAGGACAAGCATGGCGATAAGTGAACAAATAAATGAATCAGGTCAGGTGCGGTGGCTCACGCCTGTCATCCCAGCACTTTGGGAGGCCGACTGGGGCAGATCACCTGAGGTCAGGAGTTTGAGACCAGCCTGGCCAACATGGCAAAACCCCATCTCTACTAAAAATACAAAAATTAGCAGGGCATGATGGCACGCACCTGTAGTACCAGCTACTCGGGAGGCTGAGCCAGGAGAGTCGTTTCAACCTGGGAGGCAGAGGTTGCAGTGAGTTGAGATCGCACCACTGCACTCCAACCTGGGCAATAAGAGCAAAACTCTATCTCAAAAGAAATAATCAATATGAGGTTTATGTTTCTTAGTCATTATTCCTGTTCATGGCCTGACTCAGAGGCCTGGGGCAGTCGGAAAGCAGGAACTCAAGAAGCCTTTCTTGGACATGGCATCAATGCATAAATAATAATACTTATAATAATAAGTAATTGGTACTGTTCTTAGCATTTTACATATATTAACTCATTTATCTTGGCAACAACCCCACGTTGAAGATTCTATTAATGTATCCACTTTATCGATGAGGAGACAGGCTTAGAAAGGTAAAGTAGTTTGCTCAGTATCTGCAACTACAGTGCCTGGCAACTAGAAGCACCCCACTGGGTGCTCGTCCTGGCGTTTATGGCTTCTCATAAGAGAATCCCAAAGGGGAGAAGATCAGCCTGCATTTAGCAGTCCACATCTGCAGGCTGATCTTCTTCTCTTTTGGATTCTATCTCTTGCTGCTCTGATGACAAACTCTTCCAGTAGCCCAGTAGCCAGGCCATCCCCTCACTTACTATATCCACCCTATCTCTGCCTCTTGAAGCCTGACCCATCCTTCAGGGCCTTGCTCTGATGTGACTTTTACCATGAAGCCATCCCTGATCCCCCACCAAGATGGAACGACTCTCTCCCGCCTCTCTGTTCCCCAGGCAATTTGTTGGAATCTGGGTGGCAGCTAGCACCACAGTCTGCCATATTATCACTCTTTGTTCTGTGTGTGTGTGTGTGTGCACGCATGCCTGCACGCACCTGGCTTCCGTGCAAAGCCATAAGTCTTCATCGTGTTTGTGTGTGTGTGTGTGTGTGTGTGTGTGTGTGTGCATGTGCCTGAATGCACCTGGCTTCTGTACTAAGCCATACGCTTCCTGAGGGCAAGGCTTTGTCTCTGGGAATCTCTTGCAAGGAACAGGCCCACAATGAATGCTGCTGAAACAGGGAGAATGGATTGAGTCTTACTGGGAATCACCAGGGCAAGTAAATACACATATTAAAAAATAAGTATGCTGGTCCCTCAACCCCACATCCTTGGCTTTCCTGGGGACTGGAGTTTGGAACAAGGATTCAGCCTTTGACAAATGTCTAGGACTCTGTCTGCAAGGTGGGGCCGCTTGGCCAGTGGTGGAGCCACACTCCCCAGGGACCTTGTGGTCCTCTCCACTCCGGAGCCCCTCCCCGCCGAACCCCTCAACTCTGGCTGCCCCCTGCACTGAAGCGCTCAGGACCCTCCACCTCAGCAAAGCTGAGGATCCAGTCACACGGGAATGGGGTGTATGGGGAAACTGGAGCCCCCCACCCCCTTCAGGCTTCAGGTTCTGCCCTGATTATGCCTCCAATATGACTCCCAGGGAAGGCAGGGGTTGGGGGGGGGATGTGGAGACTAAGGAGGACGGGGAAGCGAGGTAGCAGAGAGGAGGGCAAAGGCAGCAGAAATAAAGGTGTGCGTGGCGGGAGGTGGCGGGGCTCGACCTCGGGCCGCTCTGGACGCCCGGCAGTGCCAGGCAGGGCCCGGGTCTGGGCGGTGGAGGACAACTTCTGCCAGCAGCCCGCCGCGAGTCCTGTCCGCCTCCCGCGCGCTGCGGTGCCCAGCCCCGCGCCAGCCCTCCCGGGGGAGCTGGAGCTTGGCCGCGCTGCTCCCCCCTGGGGCCGCTCCGGCGCCCACACCCCCCACGCCCACCGACCGGCCTCCTCACCTTCGGGACCTGGGAGTCACCGGCCGGCGGGGCCCTGGGTCCGGGCCGGGCTGGGTGGGGGCGGCGCTCTTCCCCCCACGCTAGCTGCGCCCGGGGATCTGCAGCGCCCGCCCCGGCTGCGGCGCCATCAGCTGCTGGGAGGCTGCGGGGCAGTCGGGCCGGGGCTCCGGGGGGCTCGGGGGCGCCGAAGGGGGGTCGGGGGCGGGCTCGAGGCGTAAACACCCAGCAACGTGACCGGAACTGGCGAACGAGCCGGAGGGGTGCGGGGGGCGGGAGAGAGAAAGGGGGAGGGGAGGGACCTGAGACGGGCGGGGAGGGGCCGTGGGCGGGGCGGGGGGAGGGGAGGCCGGCGGCGCGCGGTCGGGGGGAGGGGGAACCCCGGGAGCCCCGAGAGCCCCGGGAACCGGGCCTGAGGCCCCCAGCGGGCCGCTGGGCTCGCGGAGCTGGCTTTGGCTGGTAGCTGGAAGGGCAAACTGGGGAACCCGCCGGTGCCTTGGCGCGCAGGGGCGCGGCGAAGGATCAGCACCGCGGACAGCGCCCAGGCCGCCAGGCCGCGATCCGCTCCGCCCCTCCCGCCCTGGCGTAGGAAGGAGAGGCAGCGCCCGCAGCCGCGCAGGCAAGGCTTGGGGCGAAGCGCGATCTGACCAGTGGGCTGGGAATCCGTCCCGTGTCTAGGCAGCAGCAAACCTGCCCCAGACCTCTCACTAGCTGTGTGGCCTTGGGTGAGTCACATCACCTCTCTGGGCCGCAGTTGATAAGATGCCCTATTTCTAAAATTCTTTTATTATTATTATTATGCTTTAAGTTCTATGAGGGTCCCAAGAGCCAAGGGAAGATTCTTGATAAACTCCAAAGTTCAGGCCGGGCGCAGTGGCTCACGCCTGTGAGGCCAGCAGTTTGGGAGGCCGAGGCGGGCGGATCACCTGAAGTCAGGAGTTCGAGACCAGCCTGGCCAACATGGTGTATGTATCCCAATCTCTACTAAAACTACAAAAATTAGCCGGGAGTGGCGGGCGCCTCTAATCCCAGCTACTCGGAAGGCTGAGGCAGGAGAATCGCTTGAACCTGGGAGGCAGAGGTTGCAGTGGCCAAGATCGTGCCACCGCACTCCAGCCTGTGTGACAGAGCGAGACTCTATGTCAAAAACAAATAAACAAAAAAACTCCAAAGTTCAGAACACGTGCGAGGCATTGCTGTTGATCCGTTTTCACCAAACGTGGGAGGCTTCAGGAGTCCCACTGTGTGCCTCAAAAGTGTGGCTGCCCTAATATCTTCCTCCTGCCGGGGGCTTGGTCTCATCTGTAAATGAGGATAATGATGATCTATGTAGCTCATAAGATCTTCGGGTTGTTGTGAGGATTAAATGAATTCCTTCCTGTAAAGTGCTCAGAACAGTACTGCTGAGTGCTTGTTAGGCCTCTGTGCTCATGACAAGGGATGAGGTAGCATTGTGTGAGTGGCAGGTGGCTCAGAGATTGCTCTGGGTAAGTCATTCCTGTCCCTGCCTGGAGGACTGGGCTGAGTGGATTCAGGCTAATGGGTTGGTGCCTGGCTTTCCCCACTCCATGGCTAGCCAAATAATCCCTGGCCTTTCCTCCTGGACCAAATTTTCAGAGAAGCCCTGTACCTTCAGAGCTGGGAGACCCGGCACCTACTTGCCACAGAGGCCCTGGGGAGGCCTCAAGGGGCACCCTGCCTCTCTATGGGTCCCTTTCCTCCCTGTCCTCCCCACTTTCCAAAGGTTAACTGGACTCAGGTGTCAACAACTAAAAAGCTTTAGCTGCTCCTGGAAAATTCTAATCCTAAAGAGTTGCAGGGGCCAGGCTCAGTGGCTCACGGCTCTAATCCCAGCATTTTCGGAGGCTGAGGTGGGTGGATCATGAGGTTAGGAATTCAAGACCAGCCTGACCAAGATGATAAAACCCTGTCTTTACTAAAAATACAAAAATTAGTCGGGCGTGGTGGCAGGTGCCTGTAATCCCAGCTACTCAGGAGGCTGAAGCAGGAGAACCGCTTGAACCTGGGCGGCAGAGGTTGCGGTCAGCCAAGATCACACCACTGCACTCCAGCCTGGGTGATAGAGTGGGACTCCATCTCAAAACAAACAAACAAACAAACAAACAAACAGAGAGTTGCAGGAATGACTGTCTTAGGTGGCTTGACAGGCTGCGGGGTTTGAATTTTGTTCAAAGGCCTCTCAAATCCCACCCTGCAGGAACTCTAGCTACTAGCTGCACTGTGGGTGGCCCCTCTTCATCCTGTCTGAGGAAATCCTTGGGAGAGGAACAGAAAGGCCAGCCTCACCCCTCTTCCTGTCTCTTGCTGTCCTTCCTAGAGGGCAGTATTCCTGGACTGTGCTCCTTGGACCTGCATATCAGTATCTCCAGCAGCAGTGTGAGTTCTGATGAACCATCCATATTCCCTCCATTTCATGAGATATCGGTAAGAATGATGAAAGGTATGTTTTGTATCTCCAAAAACAGGTGATATGAAGGAGCCTGAAAACCTGGCTTCTGGCCCCAGCTCTGTTACTTACTACTTGGGTAATTCTGGGCAAGACTCAGCCTCTCAGAGCTCCAGTTCCTTCTCAGTTAAATGGGAAGAGTAACATTGACTCTGCCAACAGGATCCTTGTGAGGCTGTCTTAAGGTACAAGTGAAGGGGCTGATAAAGTGCACATGGATAGAATTGTTATCACCAAGTCTCAAATGTTCTTCTCTTTGATCTGTGTCAGGATGAATCCTGGAACTCTGTCTTTTATTTATTTATTTATCTATTTATTTATTTATTTAAGGTGGAGTCTCACTCTTTCGCCCAGGCTGGAGTGAAGTGGCATGATCTCAGCTCACCGCAACTTCTGCCCCCTGGGTTCAAGTGATTCTCCTGCCTCAGCCTCCCAAGTAGCTGGGATTACAGGCACGCACCACCAGGCCCGGCTAATTTTTGTATTTCTAGTAGAGATGGAGTTTCACCATGTTGGCCAGGCTAGTTTTGAACTCCTGACCTCAAGTGATCTGCCCACCTTGGCCTCCCAAAGTGCTGGGATTACAGGCGTGAGCCACGAAGCCCGGCCCTTTTTTTTTTTTTTTTTCTGAGATGGAGTCTAGCTCTGTCACCCGGGCTGGAGTGCAGTGGAGTGATCTCAGTTTACGGAAACCTCTACCTCCTGGGTTCAAGCAGTTCTCCTACCTCAGCCTTCCGAGTAGCTGGGATTATAGACGTATGCCACCACGCCCAGCTGATTTTTGTGTTTTCAGTAGAGATAGGGTTTTGCCATATTGGCCAGGCTGGTCTCGAACTCCTGACCTCAAGTGGATCTGCCCACCTCGGTCTCCCAAAGTGCTGGGATTACAGGTGTGAGCCCCTGTGCCTGGCCTTTTTTCTACTTTCTTTTTTTTCCTTTTCCTTTTTTTTTTTTAGAAACAGGCCCTGGCTCTGCTGCTCAGGCTGGAGTGCAGTGGTGCAATCATAGCTGACCAAAGCCTCGAACTCCTGGGCTCAAGTGATCCTCCAGCCTCAGCCTCCCAAAGCACTAGGATTACAGGAGTGAGCCACTGCGCCCAGCTCTCTTTTCTTTTCTTTTTATTTTTGAGACAGGGTCTCAGTCTGTTGTCCAGGACGGAGTGCAGTCGTGCAAACACAGCTCACTGCAGCCTCCACCTCCTGAGCTCAGGTCCTCCCACCGCAGCCTCCCAAGTAGCTGGGCTCCAGGCGTGTGCCACCATGCCTGGCTAATTTTTGTAGTTTTTTGTAGAGATGGGGTTTCACCCTGTTGCCCAGGCTGATCTTGAACTCCTGGGCTCAAGTGATCTACCTGCCTTGGCCTCCCAAAGTGCTGAGATGACAGCGCTTTGCTGGGATTAGCCACGGTGCCACACCCTGGCTCCATTTCCAAAATTAAACTTGTAACAAAGTAAAAGAAAACTAAAGTTTAGAAAAAGTGTACCTCTTGCTTCCGAAGCCACGATTACTTTGAGTTGAGCACTTTACCAATGGGATCTCATTTAAACTTCAGATAAATCGTATTGGAAAGGTTTATTCCCATTTTCAGATGGAGAGAATGAGGTTGAATTTAACATCACACAGCTTGGAAATGGCAGAGCCAGGATTCAAACTCCAGCCCAGCCTGGCCCAGAGACAAGCTTGTAACCACAGCATCCTCACGCCTGCCAGAGAGAACATGAGTCCAGCTGTGGCAGCCACAGTGGTCATAGCTTAAAGGGAAGGTAAGGGCCAAAGTGTGCAAGGCCTGGAATGCCAGCTAGAGGAATGAGGCCTGGGTGGCAGAGAAGGCCTAGAGTCTCCTCCATCTCTTCATGACAGTCAGAAATTCTGACTTTCTCAGTTTAGTTTGGGTAACAGTTCTGTATTGGTTAGCATCCTGGCAGGGAACAGATGGCACATTTAAAATGGACAATTTGGCTGGGCCCGGTGGCTCTCACCTGTAATCCCAGCACTTTGGGAGGCCAAGGTGGGCAGATCACTTGCGGTCAGGAGTTTGAGACCAGCCTGGCCAACATGACGAAATCTCGTCTCTACTAAAAATACAAAAATTAGCCAGGTGTGGTGGTGGGTGCTTGTAATCCCAGCTACTCGGGAGGCTGAGGCAGGAGAATCGCTTGAATCCAGGAGGTGGAGGCTAATTTTTGTATTTTTTAGTAGAGATGGGGTTTTACCATATTGGCCAGGATGGTCTCGATCTCCTGACCTCGTGATCTGCCCGCCTCGGCCTCCCAAAGTGCTAGGATTACAGGCGTGAGCCACCGCGCCCGGCCGTATATATATATACCACATTTTGTTTATCCATTCATCCATCAGTGAACATTTAGGTTGCTTCCACCTGTTGGCTATTGTGAATAATGCTGCCATGAACACGGGGCACACTTTCTTTTCTTTTCTTTTTTTTTTCTTGAGACGGAGTCTCGCACTGTCGCCCAGGCTGGAGTGCAGTGGCGCGATCTCGGCTCGCTGCAAGCTCTGCCCTCTGCCTCCCAGGTTCACGCCATTCTCCTGCCTCAGCCTTCCGAGTAGCTGGGACTACAGGCGCCCGCCACCACGCACGGCTAATTTTTTGTATTTTTAGTAGAGAGGGGGTTTCACCATGTTGGCCAGGATGGTCTCCATCTCCTGACCTCGTGATCCACCTGCCTCGGCCTCCCAAAGTGCTGGGATTACAGGCATGAGCCACCACGCATGGGGCACACATTTTTTAAACCAGTTTGACATTTGACATATATATATATATATATTTTATATATATATTTAGAGACCGGGTCTTGCTATGTTGCCCAGGCTGGAGTGGCAGCGGCTATTCCCAGGTATGTTTATAGCACTCAACAGACTTGAACTCCTGGCTCAAGTGATCCTCCTGCCTCAGACTCCTAAGTAGCTGGGACTACAGGCATATACCACCACACCTGGCTGACATTAGCCTTTTAATTTTGCTTATTGTGTTTTTGTGATGTGCAGATATTAAACATTTTTATTTTAGCCAAATCCATTAATCTCTTCCTTTATGGCTTCTGCCACTGATGTCATGCTAAAAAAAAAAAACCTATCCTCACTTTAATATAATGACAATACTTATCCACGTTTTTTTCTTTTCTTTCTTTTTTTTTTTTTTTTTTTTTTTTTGAGACAGTCTTGCCCTGTTGCCCAGGCTGGAGTGCAATGGCGCGACCTCTGCTCACTGCAACCTCCGCCTCCCCGGTTCAAGCGATTCTCCTGCCTCAGCCTCCCGAGTAGCTGGGATTACAGGCAGGCGCCACCACGCCCCGCTAAGTTTTCTATTTTTAGTAGAGACGGGGTTTCACCATGTTGGCCAGGTTGGTCTCGATCGTCTTGACCTCGTGATCCGCCCACCTCCGCCTCCCAAAGCGCTGGGATTACAGGCGTGAGCCACCGCGCCCGGCCGAGTAGTTTACTTCTTTAGGCATCACTTCCTGGGTAGAACGGGTTTCCTAAGGGAGTAAGGCACAGAACGAGGCAATGGGCCGCCTGGTCTCTCCGCGCGTCAGTAGGACTCGGGGAACCAGACTCCGCCCAGTGCTCCCCAGAAACCCGGCTCCTCGGCGCGGCGGGGAGAGACCCGGACGGGGAGAGGCCGCTGTCCCGCCCGTTCTGCGGGGCCGGCGCTGACCCGGCTCCAGCCGCCTCCAGGGGCGGGGTCTGAGCGCCGCGCCCTCCCCGCGCCCTCCCCGCGCCCTCCCCGCGCCCTCCCCGCGAGCGCGCCCCGGACACCCGCCTGCGGCAGCCGAGCCTCCTCCACCGTGCGGCCCGCGGAGGGCAGGGAGCGGCCGGGCGAGGCATGGCGGGCCGCCGGGCGCCGGGGGAGAAGCGCTGGCAGCTGGTGCGCTGGTGAGTGGGCGCCGGGCGGCGCGGGGCCTAATGCGGGAGCGAACCCCGAGGCCCGGCCGGCGCGGGAAGCAGCGGGGCGCGGGCCCAAAGTTTCGTCCCGGGCTGAGGCTGCGGGGCCCGGGTGGGCGGAGGGGCGCCGGCTGCCTGGTCCCCACCACCCCCTCCGGTCCCCACCACCCCGCGTCCCCGCGCCGGGTCTCTGCGGCTCTCCAAAGAGATGGGCGACGGGGACCCTGTGCGAGCCGTCAGGCTTTGGGGGAACCCCGTCCCCCTCCCGCGGGGGCGCCCTTTCCCTGCACTTCACCTTTCACGCTCGCACGGGGCTTCCGCCTTCCCCTTCGCCCCCTTCAGGTTTCCCATTTGTGCCTCCCTCCGTTCCTTCTGCCACCCGGGGCAGGGCTCTGGACTTGGGCCCCGAGAAGGCACCACCCACA
The DNA here is from genome assembly GCF_000001405.40 of Homo sapiens. Lineage (NCBI taxonomy): Eukaryota > Metazoa > Chordata > Mammalia > Primates > Hominidae > Homo > Homo sapiens. The sequence continues at coordinate 2,756,202 of NC_000017.11, forward strand.
GCCCCCAACCCCTGCGTGGAAAGGGGTGCTTTAGCCCCGAAACACAGGAGCCCCTGGGGGTGTGCACTCTGGGGACAGGGCGCAGAGAAGGGGGCCTAGGAGACCAGGGCAGGGGAGGGGTCCCCGTGTAGCGGGGCAGTCGCCCTTTCCCCCTCCGCAGTCCTGGCCCGCTGGGAAGTCAGAGCCTGCGGTGTCAGGTTACCGGACTGCAAGCTCAGAGGGTTTCAGACGCAGCGCTGTCGAGTCACCTGATCTGGGCCCCCGAACCCACGTCCCAGGGTTCCAGGTGTCCCAATGTTCAGGACGGCTTCAGCCAGGGGCCTGACCTCTGCTTGGCGGCACTTGGAGCTTAGGGCAGCCTGCACAGCCCTCCCCGGACCTCGGAGGACTCCAAGATTCAAAAGAGAATGTCGGCCTGGGACTCCTCCCCATCCCAAATCATCCCACACACAGCAGGGTCAGAGAGCACCTCTGAAGGTACATTCTGTAGCCTGCATACAATGAACAATAATGTCATCAATAACAGCAACGTGGGCTTCCCCAGCACCTCCCGTGGCTCTGGAGTAGTCAGGATTCAGGCACACACTGAGAGGAAGGTATTAGCACCTCCATTTTACTAAAGATGAGGAAGCCGAGGGTCAGAGAGGGAAAAGGATTCAAGGTCACCCAACAAGCGCATGGTAGAGGCAAGGTTTGAACCAGGTCTTGCTCAGGAGCTTAACTTTTCCTCTGTTTTGCATATTTCCTGGATGGTTCCACCCAGCGTGGCCACACATCCAAGTTCACATTGTCCGAAAATCCCACAGTGTCAGAGCAGGAGGTGCCAATGGGTTTCCAAGTATATTAGTTAGCAGTGGAATCACTCTTCAAGTGAAGCTCCAATAGAGAAACCAGATAAAAGTAGAATTAATCTCCTTTATTTAATTCTTTTTTTTGAGATAGGGTCTCACTCTGTTGCCCAGGCTGGAGTGCAGTGGTGCAATCTCGGCTCACTGCAGCCTCCACCTCCCAGGCTCAAGTGATCCTCCCACCTCAGCCTCCCAAGTAGCTGGGACTGCAGGCATGGGCCATCACGCCCAGCTAATTTTTGTATTTTTTTTGTAGAGGTGGGATTTCACCATATTGTCCATAGCTAGTCTCGAACTCCTGGGCTCGAGCGATCTACCCACTTCAGCCTCCCAAAGTGCTGGGATTACAGGCATGAGCCACCGTGCCCCTGGCAGAGGTAATCCACTTTTGAATTACCTCAGGGGAGGTGGGCAGTTAGTGTCCCTTTCCTCAAAATGACATAGCATTCCATCGCCCGACCACAGCGCCTGGCTCAAGTATGGGTGTGTGACCTAGGTCAGGTCAGTGACATGACATCATGGGAACTGGGCTGGAACCACTGAGACAGGGAAGCTCTGTCTCCATAGAGTGTTGATCTGGGCCACTGATGACCACCTTGCTGCCACAAGGACTAAAACTGGAACAGAGGGAGGCAGAGGTATAAAGAAAGTAGGACCACCCCAGCACCCCAGACCTTCCAGATCAGTTCCCTCACTTCACAGAAGAAATAGGAAGAGATTTAAGGCGTAGAGCTTGGATGCCTGTTTTGACTCATCCTCCCAACTCTTGCCCCTGGCACTGTCTGCTGGGGTTGTTTCTTGGGCTGGACCTGATGATGCCTGAATTTTTTTTTTTTTTGAGATGGAGTCTCACACTGTCACCCAAGCTGGAGTGGAGTGGCGCGATCTCGGCTCACTGCAAGCTCCGCCTGCCGGGTTCACACCATTCTCCTGCCTCAGCCTCCTGAGTAGCTGGGACTACAGGTGCCCGCCACCACGCCAGGCTAATTTTTTGTATTTTTAGTAGAGACGGGGTTTCACCATGTTAGCCCGGATGGTGTCGATCTCCTGACCTCATGATCCGCCCGCCTTGGCCTCTCAAAGTGCTGGGATTACAGGCGTGAGCCACCACGCCTGGCCACGCCCCCCCCCCTTTTTTTTTTTTAAGATGAAGTCTACCTCTGTTGCCCAGGCTGGAGTGCAGTGGTGTGATCTTGGCTTACTGCAACCTGTGCCTCCTGGGTTCAAGTGATTCCCCTGCCTCAGCCTCCCGAGTACCTGGGACTACAGGTGCGCACCACCACGCCTGGCTAATTTTTTCTATTTTAGTAGAGAGAGGGTTTCACCATGTTGGCCAGGCTGGTCTTGATCTCTGACTTTGTGATCCGCCTGCCTCAGCCTCCCAAAGTGCTGGGATTACAAGTGTGAGCCACTGCACCCAGCCACATGAATCATTTTTAGTGCCGTAATTGGGTTTGGGGTCACCCCTCACCCCAGATAAAAGCTCATCTTTCTGAGAAGGTCCTGAAGATGTGACTTGAGTGGTTAGGCAGCCTGGCAGGGTGCACGTCTGAGGCCGAGATACCCTCTCAATCCATGCCATGCTCCAGCCATGGCCAGCCATGCTCCAGCTGTGGCCCCTGGATCTAGGACTTCCCACTGAGTCAGTTTACTTTCCTTTTTAATGAATCAGGATTCTTTCACTTGTAAATTGTAGAAATCGACTCAAACTAGCTTCAAAGAAAAAGGGAATTTATAGACTCACTGAACTGAAAAAACTCTAGGAGCTCTTCATGTTTCAGGCACAGCTAGATTCAGGAGCTCAAACAACGCCACTGAGGCTGGAGTGCAGTGGCGATCACAGCTCACTGCAGCCTCGACTTCCCAGGCCTGAGTGATCCTCCTCCATCAGCTTCCCATGTAGCTGGGGCCATAGTTGAGGTCCACCATCGAGAGCCACCACGTCTGGCTAACTTTTACATCTTTTTTTTTGCAGAGATGGGGTCTTGCTATATTGTCCAGGCTGGTCTCAAACTCCTGGGCTCAAGGGATCCTCCCATCTTGGCCTCCCAAAGTGCTGGGGCTACAGGCATGAGCCACTGTGCCCAGCCTTGAGTCATCATTCCTTTACCTAACCTCTACTGACAATCTTTCAAGTATTTTGAACATTTTGATATTACAAGCATTGTGGCAAAGAACATTCTTGAATCTATATCTGTGCATACTTGTGCAAAGATAGTGGTTGGATACTTTATTATTTTTTATTTTTTGAGACAGAATCTTGCTCTGTCACCCAGGATAGAGTGCAGTGGCTCAATCACAGCTCACTGTAGCCTCTACCCGCTAGGCTCAGGTGATCCTTCCACCTCAGCCCCCTGAGTAACTGGGACTACAGGCACGTGCCACCACGCCCAGCTAATTTTTTGTATTTTATTTTTTGAGACAGAGTCTCACTCTTGTCGCCCAGGCTGGAGTGCAATGGTACAACCTCAGCTCACTGCAACCTCCGCCTCCCAGGTTCAAGCAATTCTCCTGCCTCAGCCCCCGGAGTAGCTGGGATTACAGGCGCCTGCCACCATACCCGGCTAATTTTTATATTTTTAGTAGAGATGGGGTTTCACCATGTTGGCCAGGCTGGTCTCAAACTCCTGACCTCAGGTGATCTGCCCGCTTTGGCCTCCCAAAATGCTGGGATTACAGGCATGAGCCACCGCGCCCGGCCAATTCTTTGTATTTTTTATAGAAGCAGGTTTTCACCATGTTGCCCAGGCTGGTCTGAAACTCCTGGCTCAAGTGATGCATTTGCCTCCCGAAGTGTTGAGATTATAGATTTGAGCCAGCGCGCCTGGCCCATGGTTGGATATATTCTTCAAAGTGAAATTGCAGGGTAAAAACATTTGCATATTGAAAAAGATATTGCCAACCTGACCTCCAAAGAAGTTGTACCGTTTTATATTATCTCCAGTGATGTGTGAGATGCCAGTTTCTTCACAATTTTGCTCATGCTGCGATTAACAAACTTTAAAATCTTGGCCAATCTCACTGATGAAAAATGGTCTCTTGGACCATCCTGGCTAACACGGTGAAACCCCGTCTCTACCAAAAATACAAAAAATTAGCCAGGCGTGGTGGCGGGAGCCTGTAGTCCCAGCTACTGGGGAGGCTGAGGCAGGAGAATGGTGTGAACCTGGGAGGCGGAGCTTGCAGTGAGTTGAGATCGCGCCACTGCACTCCAACCTGGGGGACAGAGCGAGACTCTGTCTCAAAAAAAAAAAAAAAAAAAAAGAAAAGAAAAAAGAAAAATGGTCTCGTTAACTTTCACTTTTTTTTGAGACGGAGTCTTGCTCTGTCGCCCAGGGTGGAGTGTAGTGGCGCAATCTCAGCTCACTGCAGCCTCTGCCTCCTGGGTTCAAACAATTCTCCTGCCTCAGCCTCCTGAGTAGCTGAGATTACAGGTGTGTGCCACCACACCCGGCTAATTTTTGTATTTTTAGTAGAGGCAGGGTTTCACCATGTTGGCCAGGCTGGTCTTGAACTCCTGACCTCAGGTGATCCATCGACCTTGGCCTCCCAGAGTGCTGGGATTACAGGCGTGAGCCACCGCGCCTGGCCAACTTTCACTTTTTTTTTTACTTACGGTAAACTTTAATTTTCCCTAATGTCCTTTCCCTGTTCTAGGGCCCCATTCAAGATACCGCATTACGTTTAGTTCCTGTGCTTCGTTGAGCTCCTCTTAGCTGTGAAAGCTTCTCAGACGTTCCTTGTTTTAGATGACCTTGACAGTTTTTGAGGAGTACTGCTCATATTTTGTAGATTGCCACTCACTCAGTTGGGATTTCTCTGATGTTTTTCTCATGATTAAACTGGTATTATGAGTTTTGGGGAGGAGGATCACAGGGATGGGTGCCATTTTCTTTTCTTTTCTTTCTTTTTCTTTTTTTTTGAGACACAGTTTCACTCTTGTTGTCCAGGCTGGAGTGCAATGGTGTGATCTCTGCACACTGCAACCTCCGCCTCCGGGGTTCAAGCGATTCTTCTGCCTCAGCCTCCCGAGTAGCTGGGATTACAGGCGTGTGCCACCATGCCTAATTAATTTTTGTATGTTTAGTAGGGTTGAGGTTTCACCTTGTTGGCCAGGCTGGTCTTGAACTCCTGACCTTAAATGATCCACCCATCTCGGCCTCCCAAAGTGCTGGGATTACAGGAGTGAGCCACTGAGCCTGGCCGGTGGGGTGCCATTTTCTCTTTTTGGTCTTTTTTCTTTTTTTTTTTTTTTTGAGACGGAGTTTCACTCTTGTTGCCCAGGCTGGAGTGCAATGGTGTGATCTCAGCTCACCGCAACCTCCGTCCCCCGGGTTCAAGCGATTCTCTTGCCTCAGCCTCCCAAACAGCTGGGATTACAGGCATGTGCCACCACTCCCAGCTAATTTTGTATTTTTAGTAGAGACGGGGTTTCTCCACGTTGGCCAGGCTGGTTTCAGACTCCCAGGCTCAGGTGATCTGCCCGCCTCGGCCTCCCAACGTGCTGGGATTACAGGTGTGAGGCACCGCACCCGGCCAGGGGGGTGCCATTCTCATCATATCGTCAAGGGTATATACAGTTGTCCCTTTGTATCCTTGGGGGATTGGTTTCAGCACCCTTGGGGATACCAGAATTCAAGGATGCTCTAGTCCCTTGAGTAAAATGGTGAAGTACAGGTCGCAGAATTTGTTTGAGAAAAGAAATACAATAAAATAAATAAATTGGTGCTGGGTGTGGGAATGTGCACCAGCTGTGTACGAAGGTTCCGGTTTTTCCACATCCCCATCAACACTTGTTATTATCTCTGTCTTTGCTTATAGCCATCCTAGTGAGTGTGAAATGGTGTCTCATTGTGGTTTTCATTTGCATTTCCCTGATGGCTGATGACGTCGGGCATCTTTTCATGTAGTTATTGTCCGTTTATATATCTTTTTTTTTTTTTTTTTTTTTTTTTTTGAGACGGAGTCTTGCTCTGTTGCCCATGCTGGAGCACAGTGGTGCAATCTTGGCTTACTGCAAGCTCCGCCTCCCAGGTTCACGCCATTCTCTATCTCAGCCTCCCGAGTAGCTGGGACTACAGGCGCCCGCCACCACGCCCAGCTAATTTTTTGTGTTTTTAGTAGAGACGGGGTTTCACCGTGTTAGCCAGGATGATCTCGATCTCCTGACCTCGTGATCCACCTGCCTCGGCCTCCCAAAGTGCTGGGATTACAGGCGTGAGCCACTGCGCCTGGCCGTCCATTTATATATCCTTTTTAGAGAAAGGACTATTCAGATCCTTTGCCCATGTTTAAATTGTGTTAGTTGTCTTTGTATTATTGAGTTGTAAAAGTTTCTTTTTTCTTTCTTTTTTTTTTTTTTTTTTGAGACAGAGTCTTACTCTGTCGCCGAGGCTGGAGTGCAGTGGCACGATCTCGGCTCACTGCAACCTCCACCTCCCAGGTTCAAGTGATTCTCCTGCCTCAGCCTCCTGAATAGCTGGGATTAGAGGTGCCCACAACCACACCTGGCTAATTTTTGTTTTTTTTTTGGTAGAGATGGGATTTCACCATGCTGGCCAAGCTGGTCTCGAACTCCTTACCTCAGATGATCCACTTGCCTTGGCCTCCCAAAGTGCTATGCTGGAATTACGTGAGCCACTGCACCCAGCCTGGGTTAGGATTTCAACATAGAAATTTTGTGGGGACACAAAAATTCGGGCCCTAGCACTGGGTCTCGTCACTTCAAGTGATCCTCCTGCCTCAGCCTCCTTGGTAGCTGGGGCTATAGGTGCACGCCACCATACCTGGCTAATTATTTATCTTTTGTAGAGATAAGGTTTTGCCACGTTGCCCACGCTGGTCTCGAACTCCCGGACTCAAGCAATCCTCCTACCTCAGCCTCTGAAAGTACTGGGACTACAGGTGTGAGCCACCACACCCAGCTTTCTTGCCGAAGTTTGAGTGGCTGATAGTGATTGAAAAGGTTGGCCCTCTGTAGCAGTTACTCTCCTTCAGTGTAGTGTTCAGCGGGATTTCAGATACACGGCAAGGTGATAGGGAAGATAGTTGGAGATGGCAGTTTACTTTTCCTTATATTCAATGCAATCCAATTCAGCAAACATATTTTCTACGTTAACAAGTTGGACTCGTTAGTGGGGATCATCTGTGTCAGAGCATTCCGAGGATGTAGTTAGTTGATCACTGTTCTTGCTGTGATTTTTACAGCAGGCTGGCTTCGAAGACCAGAGGGCTGTGTAAGGATGTTGTGGGGATTTCAGAGATGGATCAGATACAGCCTTTGTACTTCAGCAGTGAGACAGACAGGCACATAAATAACTAACATCCAGGCAGGCAGAGAAATGCTGTGATCAAGGTTAAGGAAGGCCGGGTGCGGCAGCTCATGCCTGGAATCCCAGCGCTTTGGGAGGCCGAGGCAGGTGGATCACCTGAAGTCAGGAGTTCAAGACCAGGCTGGCAATCATGGTGCAACCCTGTCTCTACTAAAAATGCACAAATTAGCTGGGCGTGGTGGCGGGTGCCTGTAATCCCAGCTACTAGGGAGGCTGAGGCAGGAGAATCTCTTGAACTTGGGAGGTGGAGGTTGCAATGAGCCGAGATTGTACCACTGCACTCCAGCCTGGGTGACACAGAGAGACTCTGTCTCAAAACAAAAAAAGAATAAAGAATAAAAGAAAATCCCTCATTCACAGCCTCTGGGAGATGGGGGTGGAGAGCGGGAGGAGGGGAGGGGAGGCTGGGTGGGGCCAGGAGGTGAAGGCTGTGCAGGTGGCCGGGGCTGTATTCCAC